>NC_000013.11:83910369-84063209 GCF_000001405.40 Homo sapiens | reverse complement strand
AAAAACTGAACGGAACAATAATAAGTAAAAGATCAAAGCAGGAATCAAAGCCTCTGATATGGTTTGGCTCTGTTTCCTCACCCAAATCTCATGTTGAATTGTGTTGGGGGAGGAGCCTGGTGGGAAGTGATTGAATCTTGGGGGCAGACTTCCCCTTTGTTCTTCTCATGACAGTGAATGAGTTCTCATGAGATCTGGTTGTTTAAAAGTGTGTAGCACTTACCCCTTCGCTCTCTTTCTCTCCTGCTCCTCCATGGTAAGATGCGCTTGCTTTCTCTTAGCCTTCTATCATAATTGTAAGTGTCCTGAGGCTTCCTAGCCATGCCTCCTGTACAGCCTATGGAACTGTCAGTCAATTAAACCTCTTTTCTTTATAAATTACTCAGTCTCAGGTAATTTTTTAATACTAGTGTGAGAATGGACTAATACAGCCTCTCAAGAAAAAAAAGTCCAGGACCAGATAGCTTCACTGCCAAATTTTACCAGGCTTTCAAAGAATAACTAACACCAACAACTAACACTCACACTATTCCATCAAATTGAAAATAAGAGAACTCTTCCTAACTCACACTATGAGACCACCACTACCTGGATATGAAATGCAAACAAGGACACAACGAAAATAAGAAAACTACAGGCCAATGCCTCTGATGAACATAACTATAAAAATCTTTCACAAAATAGCAGTAAAACAGATCCAATAGCAAAACAAAAAAACAATAATGTAACATGTACAAGTGTGATTTATTCCAGGTATGAAAGAATGGTTCAGCATATGCACATCAGTAAATGTGATACATTACACCATCAGAATGAAGGACCAGAACTATATAATTGTCTTAACAGATGCAGAAAAAGCATTTGATAAAATTCAACATCCCTTCATGATAAAAGCTCTCAACAAACTAGCCATAGAAGCCACATATCTTAACATAAAAAATCCATACACAACTCTATAGCTACTATCATGCTGAATGGGGAAGAGCAGAAAGCCTTTTCTCTAATAACTGGAAAAAGACAAGAAAGCCAAAAATGCTCACTTTTCACCACTTCTGTTCAACATAATACTAGAAGCCCTAGCCAGAGCGTTCAAGAAAAAGAAACAGAAGGCATCTAAATTGGAAAAGAGGAAGTCAAATTCTCTCCCTTTGCTAATAATATGATCTTATATGTAAAGACTCCACCAAAAAACTCACATCTGATAAACGAATTCAGTAAAGGTTCAGGATACGAAATCAACATACAAAAATTGGTAGCATTTCCATACACCAATAATGAACTAGCTAAGAAAGATATCAAGAAGACAATCCCATTTACAGTGGCTTCAAATAAAACAAAATATCTAGGAATAAATTTAACCAAAAGTGTAAAATATTTCTAAAACGAAAACTACAAAACAATGATAAAAAAATTGAAGCGGATAGAAGCAAATGGAACATCCCATGCTCATAGGTTGAAATAATTAATATTGTTAAAATAACCATATTTACTCCCCAAATCAGTCTTCAATGCAATCTCTACCAAAATTCCAAGGTCATTTTTCACACAATTAGAAAGACAATCCTAAATTTGTATGAAACCAAAAAAGAGCCTGAATAGTTAAAGCAATCCTGAGCAAAAAGCACAAGGCTGGAAGCATCATACTACCAGACTTAATATATTACAAGGCTTTGGTAAACAAAAGAGCATGGTATTGGTATAAAAACAAACACATAAACTAATAGAATAGAATAGAATAGAATAGAATAGAATAGAATAGAATAGAATAGAATAATCCAGAAAAAAATTCCTGACCTCTATTTCTCACCATATACAAAAATCAACTCAAGTTTGATTAAAGACTTAAATGTAAGATGTGAAACTCTAAAACTTGTAGAAAAAAAAATAAGGAAAACAATTCAGGACATTGGTGTAGGCAAAGATTTTATGGCTAAGACCTCAGAAGCTCAGAAAATAAAAATTAAAAAATAGACAAATGAGACTAGATTAAACTCAAAAGCTTCTGCACAACAAAGGAAACGGTCATCAAAGTGAACAGAAAAACCTATAGAATGGGACAAAATATTTGCAAACTATTCAACTGACAGAGGACTAATATCCAGAATATTCAAAGAACTCCAACAGCTCCACAGTAAAAAAAACAAAAACATCATTAAAAAGTGGGCAAAAAATATGAATAGACATTTCTCAAGATACACAAATGGCCAACAGGTACATGAAAAAATGCTCAACATCACTAATCATCAGGTAAATGCAAACCAAAATCACAATGAAATATCATTTTATATCAGAATGGCTATGATCTTTTTTATTTTATTTTACTTTAAGTTCTGGGATACATGTGTAGAATGTGCAGGTTTGTTACATAAGTATACATGTGCCATGGTGGTTTGCTGCACCTATCAACCTTTCATCTAGATTTTAAGCCCCGCATGCATTAGGTATTTGTCCTAATGCTCTCCTTCCCCTTTCCCCCCAACCCCTGACAGGTCCCAGTGTGTGATGGTCTCCTCCCTGTGTCCATGTGTCATCATTGTTCAACTTCCACTTATGCGAGAGAACATGCAGTGTTTGGTTTTCTGTTCCTGTGTTAGTTTGCTGAGAATGATAGCTTCCAGCTTCATCCATGTCCCTCCAAAGGACGTGAACTCATTCTTTTTTATGGCTGCATAGTTAGAATGGCTATTATTAAAAAGACAAAAAAATCACAGATGCTGGCAAGGATATGGGAATGTAAATTCATATAGCCATTACGAAAACCAGTATGGAGGTCCCCGCAACCAAAACAAAAACAAACAAACAAACAAAAAGACACTACCATAGTGTATTTATGTAAATATCAGTGGATCAAAGGGATACCTGCACTCACATTTTATTGCAACACTATTTGCAATAGCAAATATATGAAATCAACCTAAGTGTTAATGAATGAACAAATGAATTTTTGAAAATGTGGTTTGTATACAATGGAATATTATTTGGCCACAAAAAAGAATGAAAACATGACATTTGCAGCAACATTGTAGGAACTGGAGGTCATTTGTTAAGTGAAGTAAGACAGGCACAAAAAGACAGACATTGCAGGTTCTCACCCCTATTCAGGAGCTAAAATAATTGATCTCTGAAGATAGAGAGTGGAATGATGGATACCAGAGGAAAAGAAGGATGAGATAGTAGTAGAAGAAGAGAGGTAAATGAGTATAACATACAGTTAGATAGAAGTTATAAGTTTAATTTTTGATAGTAGAGTGGGGTGACTATAGTTAGCAACAATGTGTTGTATATTTCAGAGTAGCTGGAGAAGACAAATTGCTCACAAAATATTTAAATGAGAAGTGCTCAATGTGATGGATATTCCAAATTTCCTGACTTAATCATCATACATTCTATGTAACAAAGATTTACTTGTAGCCCATAAATATGTAAAATATCATGCATCAATAAAATTAAAACACTAGAAAATTTAAAAAATTAAAAAGAGAAATTAGGAAGTCATAATTTACTCAAAAATCATTTCATTCAACATTGTCCCAATTTGACTATTTTATTACATGTCCTACCTATGTATCTTGATGGAAATTTTCTGAGGAGATTTTAATTAAGGTTTTAGGAAAAGTTTTTTAAACTTATATGAAAAACTTTACTAAACATCTCATCTGTCAAGGCACTGAGCTATGTTCTATGGGCTCTACTGAATGGTTTTGGGATACAGATCACATTCTGCAAATAAAGTTGAGGATGTTAGTTATGTACTGTCACATCACATGGAAGTGAATTGATAAGGAAATTGGAAGAAAATAATGAGATAAGCTTGATGATATGCATGTCCCTAATTTGAGGTTTGAATATATGGGAGCTACTTGTAAACAATGCATAAATCCCTGTTCCAGATGCATATTTAATGCCAAAATGCTTGTGCAGAAAGAAAGTCAATAGAGAATCCACATAAAAAGAGCCATCCAAGGACTATTATCCATGTTAGTAGTTTATCTGCTACATTATTTATTTATACTAAGCTTTATTAATATAGAAAGTAAGTGGAAAGTATTGCCTTAAAAAAACTTATCACTCTATCATTTGAGAGTGAAGAGATACAGTCATAATTGTATTAATATTATGATGAGGTATGAAAATGAAGTATAAAAGTAATAATAGCAACACTTAATGGATGATTCTAAAACTTTTGCCAGGGATTGTTCTAAAACTTTTATACTGCATTAACTCAAGTAATCATGATAATAGCATAATGAAATGAGTTCTATTTTTATAAACATTTGCAAATGAAGAAGCTGAGCAAAAGTCCAAGGCCATTTGCCAGACAGTGGGGAAGCCAGGATGTCAACATTCAGTTCCATTCTCGGTTCTTAAGCATATGTTATATCAATTCAGTAATAAGCTTTTTAGAATTTCACTGGAACTGTGTGTGTAGGATTTGTCGTCACTGAGATGCTGAGGGAAGATTTCATGAGAAGATGGTTCCTTAAATGCATGCATAAGTATCAATGGATTTAGTAGTATAGTACGTGGGTCAGTAAAGATAAATTCACTAATGCAGTAGAGTGGTGTTTGTACTTTAGCACTTTAGTGGGTTAACATCATCAGAAGTTATTGTTAAAAATACAGATTCCTGAACTCTATGCCTGGAGGTGTTGGTTTTCAGAAGGCCTTGAGTATACCAGGGAAATTACTTTTTAACAAGATCTCTAGATGATTTTGATGCCAAGTCTATGGAGGATGCTATGAAGCATACTGCACTAGTATTTTGTAATCAAATTGAATTTCTATTCCAATGAAGTTATGTAGAGGGGAGCATTAAAAAAAAAATGCAACAATGTATCTGACTGAACAAACACATCCACATAGAAAATAATCCAAATAGAAGAGAAACTAGTACTTATTTCATAGATTTTTGCGCTCATTTGAATGTAAGGTCACAATGTAAACTTACACAATAATGGTTATGCCATTACCACATTCTTAGTATCTAATATTATCTTACAAATTGCATTTATTTTTATTTCCAACCCATGCTTTGACTATTTATTTCAATTCTCCAAGAAGAATCTTAGTTCTTAGCATAGACATACCAGCATTCCAGTAGAGGATGTTTGATTTTAAAAAGGCATAAGAATATGGTTCAGCAATTAATGCTGATTTTCTTCTGTTATAGAAAGAGCATTTATCATTCCTTAACTTTTTCAAAGATCTCTCTTAGTAGACAGTTTAAATCATTCAATGAGATTGTACATCAAAACCAATTCTTTCTACTTTAAAATACAATTTGTCCTAGGAGTTTGGTTTTATACGTATACTTCTCATGAAAGATTATAGTCAGGTCACAAAAGGCAGCAGTGTAATGTGGCTTTCAAATCATAAGATCATATTTTGATTAACAATGGTAATAATTGCAGGCTGGAATAAGTTAGACTTTATTGAAGTCATTGTGCCCTGCCCTCAATGCCCCAACAGAATTGGTTTCAATCTCCTTCTGCTTAGGAACTTGGTAATTGTGTCTGTCCTACCAGTTATCGCATTGTGATTTTTTGCTTAGTGTCTGTCTCGAACTAGACTATGTGGAAACACATGGAGCTCATATCAAGGTAATGTTATATTTAAAGAATAATTCACAAAGATAACTTGAATGTAAATAATGATGGAAATTTATTGTTTGTAATTATTTCTTGTATATTGTTATTCAATGTGGTTTGACATCTTGCCGATTTCCTCCTAAGAACAATGCACCAATTTGAAGCACTTCGGAAACATGAGAGCATCATAATAAGAAAAATATAAGTAGTAACTTTTATATGTGTGAGATGTAGAAAAGTTAAATGACTGACATTATTAGCCTTATAATTTAAAAAGCCATTATATTCCAAAACTACTATATCAAAGTTGATGTAGTTTACAACAGTCCTTAAGATAAATGTGTGACTTGAAAAAAAATAAAAAGACTCGTTTTTAGCAGTATTATGTTCACGGTAAAACTGAGCAGAGCATACAGAGAGGTTATTTATACTCCTTGTTCCCTCACGTGCATATACTTCCTCATTATTAACATCACCCACCAGAGCAGTAGCTTTGTGTGCAACTGATGAACCTATTGACACATCATTATCACCCAGATTCCATAGTTTACATATGGTTCACCGTTGGCGTATTCTATGGGTTTCAACAAATGTAAAATGATATGTATCCATCATTATACTACCATACAGAGTAGTTTCCCTACCCAAAAAATTCTTTGAGTAGGGAGTTACAACATTTTGAAAAAAAATTTTTTTGAAGTATAATCTTCCTTATCAAAGAAATAAATGAATACACTATCTGAAAAAGAAAATCATGTTATAATGAATTATAATGCCCTTGATTGTTATTTTAGGTGAATTTGTTCATAAACTAATATTTTACACAAAACGTAGGGTGGTCACAAATTCAATTTCCAGAAAACAATATAAATTAATTTTAAGAGTTAAACCTCATTAAGATTTCTTTAAATTCTTTTGCTCACTTGTGTGTTTCTTAATGACGATTGAAAATGATATTTCATAAGGCAACATTACTCATTTTCTGAGATGGAGGATTATGAACTGTCTTATATTCAATAACATTTTTAAAAAATCGATAGCATTGATACCCCATTATATTAAAGAATCATTTATTTATTTAGATATCAACTAAAATTGGGTTAATGGGTCTAAATAGAGAACTCCTTCCATTATATCCATTAGGGTCCTGATTTTAGTTCATTGTAAATAGAGATATTTAATAAATGTAAGTGAGACTCTGGGTTTATTTTATGTTTAAATATTAATGAAAATGATATCAGATAAAATGTTTTAAAAGTCCATATGATCATAAGAAGACTTTTTTATTAAAGATGATCAGTACTGACTGCATTTTAAAAAAAAAGACCCTAGTTTAAACAATAGCAGCTGACAAGTGCAGTGGCTCACTTCAACCTCTGCATCCAGGGTTCAAGTGGTTCTCCTGCCTCAGCTTCCTAAGTAGCTGGGACTACAGGTGTGTACCACCACGCCCACCTAATTTTTGTATTTGCTTCTTTTTAGTAGAGAAGGGGTTCACCATGTTGGCCAGGCCGGTCTCAAACTCCTGACCTTAGGTGATCCGCCCATCTTGGCCTCCCAAAGTATTGGGATTATGGGCGCGACCCATTGCTCCCAGCTGATAACAGATATTCTTAATCGTTTGATTTGCCAAGACTTGTATCTAGTTTATAGATACCTTATTTCTTCTGTACCTTTTATTAGCACAAAAGCACATGTAAATCTTACATATAAGATTTACCTTATACTAGAAAAGTAAAAAGAAAAAAGTGGTCATTTTCATTTATATAAGAAGATACTAAGTTTTCTGCACTAATTTATATTTAAAAATTCAGTGGAATTCTTTTTAATACCTGTCAGAAGTACATCACTCCCTCAGAGTAAAATAGAAAATGCCTCTATAATTGAATGGAACAAAGGCTCCTATAATATGATTTTTACTAAAAACAACCTAAAGCTATTCATCAATTTGTACTAAATTAATTCAGTCCAGACGAGAAATCATATAAAAGCTGATGCCTTTACTTCACAGCCCATTACCTCCCAGAGGTAAAGATAGGCCTATATTATTATGTAACAATGTGAAACATTTGAAACTCCAAAACCTATGCTGTATTTCAATTTTTAATGAGATAAGTTATAGTATTTACAACCATAGTCTATTTTTTTTTATTTTCATGTGATAAAGCAGCTCTCCTCCTGCTCATTTTAAATGTACGCCATCTCTTCAATCTTACAGCTCAGTTTATCTACCAAGGCAGATAAACATGGTAAAATGTTATTTACAGGTAATGCACTAAAAGGGCATGGGCTGCTTTTATTGAGCACTCATGATGTGCTGTGTTCTATGCTGGCAACTTGTATTCAATTCTCAGAGCTATCTTAGTTCGTAGGTATGATTATTGTAATTTTACAGATGAGAAAATTTAACAGACTCAGCACTGTTAAATAAGTCATTCAGGATAACATGGCCAGTAAGTACCTGACATGCTTCTGTTTTTGTGATTCTGCAAGTTCCTAGTATTACAGAAAAGATGTTTTCTGTAATTTATTTTTAGCATTGATTTAGTAGAAATGTCATTTCTTCTTAGATGATGTTTTATTGCTTGTACCCCATATGACTCACCTCTCCCTTTACCCCTATTAATCTCTTCATTTGGTGATAGTATGTTCTACGCAGAAAAAACACCTTGACATTCGAATGTACAAAATTAAGGGCTTTCCTACATACCCTTGTGCCAGTCTCCAACCAAATCATAGGAGTAACATTTGGCTCTGGCAAAACTGGAAGCACCTTGAGGGCAGATGCAACACTGCAGACATAGTGGGAACTGAAGAGTTAGGGTCGTGCCACCTCAAAATATGCCACTGTGGCATTTTGACTATTTTGAGTAAAAGCACTTGAAAAACAGCAGGTACAAGTTTATCATTTCGACCTTCCTTCTGTTTCTTAAAAGCTGCAGACAAAATTTCCATGTAACAAATTTCCTCTCTGTTCCAGAAGGAAAGCATCATTCTCACCATCAAAGATGGAAATGTAAGGCTGGGGGGAATCTGTAGAAATAAACCTTGCCAGGCACTTCCACACCCAACTAACCACCTTAGCCAAAGCTTTTTTTTTTTTTTTTTTTTTTTTGCCTTTTCACAATTTACTTCTTGTCACTTATACTAATTCAGTATATAAGTGTTCAACTCTGAGTCTTTGGGTCTACATTTTTTCATAAGGCTCCCATGCCACATATAACTTTTATTAAATGAATTTCTATTTTTTCTAGCTGATCTATCCTTTGCTTATTTAATTCTCAGACCCAGCCAGAAGAAAAATATCCTGAAAACATAAAATTTTGTTTCCCCTATAAGTACCTCATGAAGCAAAACTGCAATTTTTTAAATGCTTAATAAATACAAATCAATGCAGCAGTTAGGCCAAAATTTTTGTATTAATCACTTACCATCATTTGAATAGGCCTGAGTTAAAACTTTACTCTCAGAAAAAAATATATTTACTTCTTTCCACAGAAAAATTGTTCTTTCAGAATTATTTTTGACCTCTATGCATTTCTTCAATTTTTAAGAAACCATTTTAAGTTGTAAATAATGGATCCACATTTCTCTGAGGTGGCAACACCACTTTTGATAACGTGTATGAAATTAGAAATCAAGAATGGTATTTTACCAGATACGATTATTTAAATAACATTAGGTGAGAGATATTTTGTTTGTAAGACTATTATTTTTATTATTGATAGAGCTATACAACAACAAAGTCATACACAGTAAAATTGGAAAGTTATTCAGAATCTTTTTAAATAAAGGATTTAATGGAAAATACAATCAGAAAGTCAATTACCAGAAATCTATTTTAATTTTAAACTTAAAATCACCAAATAATATAAATCTAATCCACAAAATAAATAAAAACATAACCTGGAAAACATAAAATAATAAAGATTTATGAAACAAAATTTTAATTACAAATTGGTAATTTTCTTCAAATTTTCATTCTTTCTCCCTTTGTTTAAATTCAGCTTCTAGTATTCTTACACTAGAAGTTATCTCGTCATCAAAAGACCCTCCAGAATTATCTAAAAAATAATCAAGAGAATAATTGTCTTGAAACTTATCAGTGGTCAATGCTCAGTAGTAGCTACCTTGTTAATGCCAGATGATGGTTTTTATGCTGGATTCAGTTCTACTAGAATCGTTCTCTGAACAAGAGCTCCTGTTGAGGTGGTTAATGCACAGTTAGCTAAGCCTTCAGTAAGGGTCATCTTTTTCCTTTATTTTTCAATCATTCCAAAATAAAGGTCATATTAGAAATTAAGAAAAAAAAGAACAGAAAGAAAGTAAATGATACTCTACTTCTGGTCTAACAATTCAGGATCTTTGTATCAATGAAAAAAATAATTATCTAGATAACTGTGATATGGGAAGAATAAATAATTATCTAGATAACTGCAATAAGGGAAAAATCTATCAACTTATATATGTGTGTATGTACATAACTGCAATATGGGAAGAATAAATAATTAGATAACTGCAATAAGGGAAGAATAAATCTATCAACAAGTATATGTGTGTATGTACATGTATGTTTCATCTGAGTAAAAATGTAAGTATATATATATAGTGAGTATATATATATATATATGAGTGTGTGTGTGTGTGTGTATATATATATATATATATATATATATATATATATATATATGTTTATACCCCAACTGAGGCTAGGATTTAAGAGAGGGTTTAAATAATCTTTAGAAGGAAATAACCATTGGGTGCCATCTATTCAGGTTGAACAGTTTGATGAACATTTAAATAATTTTTTTAGGAAATTTCCAGAATTAACAGTAAAGTTATTTGTAACTTTTATCTTCTTTGCTAAATCTTTGAGAATAGTAATGTTGATGATGAAAGTGTGTGAAAAGGAAAAGCATATTAATAAAAACATAAAAATAGCAAAGTTAACATAGATAGCAAGCTGTGTGTGTGTTGATGGTTTCAATTATTAGAGTGATCATAACATGAAAATGATTAGATCTTTTGAAATGTAGTATTAAAATATATGGACATGTTTATCAAATCTCAGAACAGCAGAATTAACATCCCATAGAATATCCTTGGTTCTATTTCCTAAGATAGAACACAGAGTTTATGCATGGTGATGCAGTCCAATTGAGTAATTTTTAGGCTTTCATACTTCCGAAAAGGTGTGGCCTCAAAATTACATAACTTACTAACAAATATGGAGAATCTGTTGTTAGAAATGACTGTTGTATCCAAAACTATTTTGTCATTGCCTAACATAACAATTTTCCTATTTCAAAAACCATATTGAAATGGCTTTTTGTCATTATATTGCTGACAAACACAAACACACACACACACAAAATCCTTTTTTTTTTAGGCAAGTGTCCTTTGGTAAAGAATGCAAAAGAAAACTGTAACAGAGTGACTCCATCTCTAATTGCACATATATTAGAATTGTTAACTATAGAGAACATGTAATGATGTTGGAATTAGCCTAGTTCTGGTGAGAGTCAGAATGAAAAGTGGAGAATTAGCTTAGCACAGGTTACAAAAACTAATTCCTGGAATCCCAAGAATGGACTCAACTAGCTCAGGATATAACAATCAGGTAATAGCTAATTCAGCAGATTTTGTTTTTTAAAATCACAGGGAAATAAATGTGATGGGAATGTTCAATATCAAACAATTTTTAAATATTCTAGTAAATTTATCTGCCCTCTGGTTCCAAGTTGTACACCTTAATTCTTATTTAGATAAGAAGAGGAAGGCTGTACACAGAGCGTTTAAAGTATAGGGCTTAGAATTAGGCAGACCTGGGATTAAATTCTAGCTTCAAGTTGCTCAGTCTTTTGCAGGAATCAGATTATCTTTTCTATAAATGAGGATATTAATACCTACCTTATAGGTTTTCAGGGAATATGAAATGAAATGACTTATGTAAAGCACTCAGCAAAACTTGGCACAAGATAGAAGTTTGAAATAAAAATACAGCCTTATATTTTTTTCTCCTCCTTAAAGATGAATGTATTCTAGATTAATTTTTTTCCACAAGGAGATAGCACCTCCCTTAAAGCTTTTCATACATCTGGTGAAATGTAGTTTTCAAGCAGTCTCCTGAATACTGGATTTATAATTTTTCTCTCCGAACTTAAGTTATTTAGCCTCTCTGAGCTGTATTTTCCTTTCTGTACATTCAGCATACTAACATCACTCTCGTATGGTAATTATGGGAATCAAAGGATGCAAAATATACAGTTATGTCTGATAAATATACAGTATATAGAAGCATTATTATTTTATTTTCAAATAGCAAAAAATGAAAGACCTCTTCTTTTTGTCATCTAAATTCCTTCTACCTCCCACTGCCTCCCACATGCAAGCCCTGCTCGGTATTTGGTTTCTGGTTTGAAGGCCAGTATGAACATACACCCATTTGTCCAGTTTATAAATACTAGTTACCTTAATCATATAAGGCCATTTGCCTGCTATTCTAATATTTCCCAACCTTTCTTCCTCATTTTCTCTGACAGGCAGTAAAGAATGCACAAAACCTGATCATCCTAACTTCCTTTAGTAAGTGATTTATGACTCAAACATTCACTGAAATCAAACCATCCATTTGCAGGCCATATATGATTGGCTTTCACATAAACACTCATATTTAATGACTATGTTGACTGTGATTCCTACACAAGGTGTCTAATAACTTCGGGGGTGGTGAGGGTACATTTATTGTCTTGGTTAAAACATCTGCAAGTTTGTATCGCCAAGAATTAACTTAGGGTTTGAATCATCAAGTGGTCCTTATGCGGGGAGGTGTGCCTTATCATCAAACTCAGTAGCTTTCCCTGAGTACTTGCACACACCACTCACAAAAATTTTATCTTCATTCCTATCTACACCAAAAGGGTGCAGAGATTGGAAGATGAATTTGAGAGGAAGAGTGGAACTGTTACAGTTGACTCACTTAGCAAAAAACTTAAAGCCAATAGTTTACAAATCTATTTCTCCAAGTCTTTTCTACTATCCCCCAATGCACAAAGTGAGTGTACCAGCAACTTGCTATTTTAATGTTTCTTCTTCCTCCTCCCTCTAGAATGCAGAGACAATTTTAGCTCCAAGCTCCTTTTTTTGTGTGTGACCTAAACTTATTAAGATGCTCAGTTAAACAAAAATATACATCTATTCCTTTAAAAAGAGCCTGCTTACTTAGAAAACTGTTTTTTCTTTTAAATATGAATTTCTTTTATTTATTATTTCATTGACTATTCCAGTGCCATTATTCTTGTGAAGTACTGTTTCCTGATTTGGAATCCAACTAAGTACTCTATATTTTAATAATAATGTATAGACTCTGTTGTAGTGATGTGTATTGTGAGAGATAACTGTATTTTAGATGAAAGTGTTTCTCTAAAATTAGAATATATTAATAAATCAGCTTCTTGAAGAGTGAACACAAAGTAATTCCTTCACTGAGCTTTTCCTTTAGTCGGTTTCTGAGGGCTTGAAGGATAGGACAGCATGATGAATGGTGATTAAACTGAGCCTAGCAAAATGATGAAAAAAATACAAAATTTTTCATTCTTGACAACAGGCATTAACATAGAACTTAGGCCATTATGTTCAGCAGAATTGAAGCCAAGATCCTTTTATAAGTTCTTACAGTGGCATGCAGGGAGTAAAGGAAGGAAGCCAAAGAACAGGCCATTTTATTTATAAGCTAAAAAAAAAAAAAACAGCCAACACTGAGAATTTGATTCTTTCACTCCTCCCAAGTAGGAAATATTTACTCTAGTATATTTTATTTGTTATGAAAAATGTAAGTGCACATTTGGATATAACAATGATTTAATTGCTAAAAGTATGATAACCTTTGATTCAAATATTTTATAATTTTAGGTCTTATTATTACCTTCAGTAACAGCAAATAAAAAAAACAAGGAGTATATACTATAATAATTGCTAACACAGCATTTATTGTATGATGTTATATTTTACAAACGTTAAGTATTAATTCCTTTCTTCCTCATTAGCATCATATGAGTTATGTAAAATTTTTGTTCATTTCAATGAATGGATAAACTAAAGGTAATTTTCTTAGACTTTCTGGCTTCTACATCCATGTTTATCAGCTTTATGACAATCCTTGCTTTACTGACTAATTTCTGAACCTCGCCACTCAGAAAAGAGGCCATATGGAAGAGAGATGTTGGTGGTTTCAATTCAAGTGGTAGCAGTAGAAGTACAAGAGTATTTTCTACAGGTAGATCTAGCATGTTTGCTGGGGAATAGATATGGTGTATGAGAGAATGAGGAAGTTAATAAGGGCTCCAAGGTTTTGTTCGATACAACTGAAATTTTGGAATTCCAATGAACTGACATGGATAAGACTGTAGATGGAGTAATTTTAGAGGGATCATAGCAATTTTGTTTGGGTAATATTTATTTAGCATGTTTATTAGTTAGACGGCAAGATCTAATAGACAGTTGGCTCTAAGTATCTACAATTCAAAAGAGATGTAGAAATTCAATTTGGGGTGTTTCATCATATAAATTACACTGAAAGACGAGACGCTATGAGATCTGCAATAGAGTGAATGTAAATAGAGGGAAAAAAAGGTTTTCTTTTTTGTTTCTGATATGGATGAACAAGTTAACTTGATCAACTTCATGGCTAAAGGCAACTAGTATATCTGATTCAGGTGCTTAAAAATCTGTTTGAAGTTACTAAAAAGTTAACATCATAATGAAATGTTGCCAGGCAAATATATCAGGGACAGATAGGAAGGTAAGCTTAGTATTTGAGAACAATTTTTCTTTAGGGCTGTTCACTTATTCTGAAGAAGAGCTGAAGGCAAAAAAAAAAAAAAAAAAAAAAAAAAAAAAAAAAAAAAAAGCACTGTTTTGTTGATAACCTTTTAGAAGCTGATGGACAAAGTCCAGGGTCTCCCAAGAGGAAACAGCTGATAATTTCCCCACACTTTGAGTTAAAACCCAAGAGACCTATAGTCTAGGAGTTAGGGCAAATCTGGAGACCTGCCCTCATAGAGCCTGAAGCCAAATCTTCAGTAACATTAATGCCAGAAACGAGTTAAATGCCAGATTCGTGGCCTCCTCATTTGACTTACACAAACTAAGGTAAAATTTCTCAGAACATAACTTTACCTTGAACTTCAAATTACATTTACACTATCAAATGTTATACAACTCCTGACATTCAGTAAAAAAAAAATCAAGCACATAGAGAAGTTAAAACACAGAAAGAAGAAACAAGAGAAAACTAGATAATAAAAACAAAAGTAATCCTGGACATGGAATTATAGTATTTTTAAATAACTTTTAATATTAAATGTACAGAGATATAAGAGAATGTTCAGATTTTTGGTAGAAAAAAATGAAAATAATTAAAAAGACCCAAATGATAATTTTAAAACTGAAATATAAAATAACCTATATTAAGAAGTCAACAGGGAAACTTTGAATGTTCTAATTTTGAAAATGTTTGGCAAGATGATTGGCAAGAAAGCTACATGTAGTTATGTGATTAAACTACTGAATACTGAAGGAAAAAAATAGAAATTTTTATAAGATCAAGAAATATAAATGACATTTTACCTTCAAAGCAGTAACATATAGACTTATGGATATTTTCTCAACACAAATAATGACAGCAAAAACAGTGATGAAAATTGTGGCTTTAAAATGCTGAAAGAAAATGATAAAACTAGAGTTTTCTCCCTAGCAAGAATATTATTAAAAAATGAAGGGGTAATCTAGGGTAATCTAGATATCTTTAGACAACCAAATTTGAGATAATTTATCACCCACAAGGTTATATTAAAAGGTATTTTTAGGGTGGTTTTCAGGCCAAAAGCAAACTATCCCAAAGGAAATAAGGAAATGTAGAAAAAAGAGCAATGAAAATATTAAATATGAAGGTTGATATAAATGAATAGTGGTTGTATAAAATGATTTTGGCAGTACTGTATCAGATACATATGTAATAGTTATTTACATATCCATATCAATATTCATTATATTTATTGGAGAATATGGAAGAGAAAAGGTCCTTCATTGACTTCAGCCATGGCCTTGTGTGTTTATGGTTGTGTCTGCTGCTACCAGTGAGTCTTGGAAATAAAATAAATATTAATCAGTTTTTATGTATGTTTCATATATATTATCTGAGAAGTATTATATAAAATAAAAAATTTTATTACCTAAATAAGTCCTTAACGTTGCCACTCTGTTACATATTTCTGTGAGTACTATTAACCTTGCTAAAAAGTATGAATGTTACATGATTAGATATTACTCAGCAGTGCCCACTGGCATTTTCACTATATGAATATTCTCTATAGGCTATGGTTCTTTGTACTTATTCTTAAACTTCATGTATATCAAAATAATTTTATTATATTCATAATGAAGGGTATAAAAATTGCTTAAAGTAAGCAAACTATCGCAAGGACAAAAAACCAAACACCGCATGTTCTCACTCATAGGTGGGAATTGAACAATGAGAACACATGGACACAGGAAGGGGAGCATCACACACCGGGGCCTGTTGTGGGTGGGGGGAGGGGGGAGGGATAGCATTTGGAGATATACCTAATGTTAAATGACGAGTTACTGGGTTCAGGACACCAACATGGCACATGTATACATATGTAACTAACCTGCACGTTGTGCACATGTACCCTAAAACTTAAAGTATAATAAAAAAAATTCCTTAAAGTATCTAAGCATTTTAATTTCAGGAATTCCAATTCCTTGTGTGTGAATCCTGAAGATTCATATCTGTCAAGAGTTTAAAAACATTACACAGGATATTAATAACTGAGACATCCCTGTGAGAAAGAAAAATAAAGAAACCATTGTAATTATTACCAAAACAGGCTTACCTATCTGTAGTGAAGTGATTTAGGTATATTATTTTATTATTTACATGAGGTATATTATTTAGCATGAATATAATAAATATAAGAGGCCAAGTGAGCATGAAAGTATTTATGAGAAAGTATAGGGAAGGAATAAACCAGACTGTAAAAAGGAATTATCAATTGCATGTAATTTTCATCTGCCAAATGAGCCAAATGTCCATTTTTAAAGCAAACTAAAAAGGTACATACACAAACTTTACTGAGCCCTTACTCTTATTTGTACCATAAGGACAGTAAAGGATAATTAGAGCAATAAATCACTGATGTTAAGGAATGCCAGAATATTTGTATTTAGCCCCCAGTAGGAGGAAGTGTTCTGGGGATGATATTCACTTGTAAACAGTAATCATTAGCATCAGGGTCATGCAGATACCTGCTTTCCCTGATGGTGTCATGGTAATCCTCAAGAGTCCTTTTGGGTATAATTGATACCTTTGAGATTATAATTTATCTGGTAAATAATCTTAATGGACTGGGTCTTTGGGGAAATTTTTTTCTTGCACAATAGAAGAACTACTATTCCTCTGAAAATCACAGAAAGAAAACATATATTTGCACCATGTAGCCCAGATGCCAGAGATTAATATATTTCCCTTTCCTAGAAAAGAGTTTTACAGAATGGTCACTTTAACTTCTCTCTTCTGTTTATTTATTTTTCTTAATTCCATGCATTTTATCATTTAACAAGCCTTAATTGGGCATTTGTAATATAGCAAATATTGTACAAATAATTAAAACATAATTCCGTCCTCTAAGAAGTCCAGATCATTAAACTGTCAGCAAATGATTCAGTCATCATCATTTTATCACCTATTGTTAGCTACCATCTATTGTCTACTATTTCCTAGATACTACATATATGTTAAGTATTTAGCTAAATATTTTGAAAAGATCATCTTAATTAAAACCTCTGCTGCAACTAATGTGACAGTAAGCTTGGATATCAAAATATTGAGCTCAGAGTAATTAAGCAACTTTTTCACAGCTGAAGAGCCAGTGATTGATGAATGAAGGGTTAAGCCCAGGGCTGATTTCAGTGTTTGGAGTCCCAAGCACTATGATAAACTTCCTATGTACCAAAGCAATCCAATAGCTGCTTTGGACAAACAGAATTGGGGTGATACACTCTGCCTGAAATGAGAGGCCCTAGGATGGCTGCATAAGGATGTGATATTTAACCTACACTTTAAAAGTACAGCAGATAAGCATTCACCCATTGTACATATTGGAATAAAAATTCAAAACAGATGATCCTACATGAATAAAGAATAAAGTCTCATTATTTCTTATTGTAAATTTTCAATATGATGATATGTATTTATTGTACTTAAGAAAAAATTTATAGGTCATTGGGCATGAAATATGTATGCTGTAATCACAGAACATTTATTTATTAATCCATATTGGACTTTGCACACTGCATTTTATCTCAATGTTGATTAATAAACATTAGATAATTTGTCTGATTTTACAATATTTATAATACTGTTTATCTTTTCCATTCAAAATGACCTACTGTTTTCATTTCATTTTTAGATCAACACATTTTGGTTAACAGCCCTAATCATGCAAATAAAGCCATTTTACTGTAGGAGCCAGACACATAAGAGCAAGTGAAATAAATTCTGAGTAGCCTTCAATGTAATCACACTAATGGCAATTCTCATCTTCTTTGATCTATTTTAGTACCAACTCCTTTAACGGTGATGGACAATAACACAGAGTAATGATGACATGATAGTTAATAAGTTGCCGACTCTTATTTCACTGTATTTTTTTCTGTTAACTTCCTATGACTGTAGATGGGAAGATGCACTATTTTAAAACTTATTTCTACTATTGATTGACCTATATATTTGATGCAAATTTAAACTATCACGATGTGACTTTTTTGGATTAGAAGAAATTTATTCTGAGTTTTATCTGGAAGAAGAAAGTTACAAGGATAGGTAACAAAATATGCTTTGTAAAAGAGAAAGAGCAAGGAGGATTACTGTTGCCTTGTAATATGTAAAATATGCCATAAATCCTAATAATTTAAAGAATTTGCTACTGAGCATCCATAAATACAGAAAAAATAAATTAAAAATAGAAATATATGGAAATGTAATATATATTCAATTATTTGAACTAAGTATTTTCTACCATGTTTTTTTATTTATCAGATCACTGTTATTACAGCAAAAACAAGCCAATGAAATATATGGCAATATTGAAATTTCAAATTAGCTATGGGGGGAAGGTTAATTATTATTAGCTAAAAAGTAGTAGGAAAAACAAACTTAGATTATCACAAAGTACACACACACACAGACATAATTTAATTGTGTCATATAACCTACAAGAAAGCTACAAACTATTACGAGAAGAAAATTTAGAAGAGTTTTCCAGATACCTTGTAGTAACAAAATCTATTTAAATATCATATGACACCAACATTTTTAACAGAAAATGACTATTTTATGTTAATGGACATTGTTAAGTTTAAAGAAAAAAAACAAGATGAAAAACATACTGGCAACAGATATTGTAAGCAAATCATCGAATATCAAAAAATATAGATGTATTGATTATGTATTGCTGTATAAGAAATCACCCCAAAACTTAGGAGCTCAAAACAGGAAAAAAAGAGACGTGGGTCATGAATTCAGGAGCAGCTTTTCTGAGTGGTCTCTGGCTTAGAGTCTTTCATGAGATTGCAGTCAGACTGCAATCTGACTAGGGCCGTCAAAAGTCTCCTTCCTTCGTATTGTAGTGCTTAGGCTATACAGTCCAGAACAGAGGCTAGAGCAGCTAAGGACCTTCAGGCACCATCCTCTTTCTCTAGCTAAATGGCCTCTCCAGCTTACTAGCATCACACTATCATGACTTCTCATGTGGATGCTCAGGGTTCCAAAGGCACGATCCCTGAGACAGCAAGCCAGGTGAAACTCTACCGGTTTTATTCTCTGGCCTTGAAAATCACAGCATCACTCCTGCTGCTTTAGTTGCTCAGAGAAGAAAGAAGCCCTTACCAAGATTGAAGAGTAGGAAACATAAGCCCCACCTGTCAATGAGAAGAGTGTGAGTCACATGGTAAGAATAATATGTGGAAAATTCATTTTGCCACAGTATGGTGACTTACAAATAATGAAGGACATAATGCCTAGGCGTAGAAAGACTTAGATTTCCATAGGTGAATGGGAGAGGAAAACAAAAGCAGAGGGATTCAGGCAGAGGTTTCTGCACCCCCTGTCCCCGCCATCATCCAGTGGAGGTATTAACAGGAATTTCAGGAGCATAAAGTCATGAGGCAGAGGGAAGCCTCATGAGGAGATCCTCTTCATGCTTATGTGGTATGGAAGAAATCCAGAAATTCACTGAATCCCGGAATGTCGAGTGGTACATTCAGATGGACACACCTGATAATACGGAACCAAGTAACTATGAAGGAATGTGTTCCATAAAAGAAACAATGGCACTGAAGACCCTCATCAATTTCTTCTTCTCTATATGTGAAAATGGAGGTCTCCAGACATGAAAACACATCGAAATAGAATTAGTTCATGGAAAATATCCAAACTGGGACAAGCAGATATGTGAAGGACTTGGAAGCCTCTCTGTGGATACTCCTGAACTCAGATTCTTGACTATGACACACCAGTTTTCAATACCCAGACTTCTTTAGGGAAACAAGAGAGTCCACAGCAGTGCTGACACTTCCGAGATTCTCAGTACAAATACTCTACAATTTAGATATTTTTTGAATAAATGAAAAAATAATAAAGCCCTTTTAATTTATACTTCACTTATGTATAATTATTCACAAAAGGGCTGGGCAAAAATTTCCAATAATTGCAAAAATGTTATTAAATAAAATTTACCTACTTAGGAAGACAAATTTTTCACTATGGTAGTATATATTCCTCTGTAATTTGCATTTTGTTAATATAATTAAACTAGATGTGAATGTAGTTAAAGGCTAAAACTAAAAGCTACAAAAAGTATTTTTGCAATAATTCAAAGTGTGATAAATTAACTAACATTCATGATATATTTAGAAATCACATGTAGGTTCAAAAACATCCCGACTCTAAGTAACCCTTCATGTGTTACTCTATTGCATCCATCTTTTCTCATTCATTGTTTTTCTCAGATTTCTCTTACAAAGGCCATTAATTGTATCTAATTATCAGATACTAGTATTAGTTCTCATCCTACTTCACATTACTTGAATTTATCATCCTTTGCCTTCCAGGTCACTGCACTCCTACTTCTCTGATTATTTCCTTTCTGAGTAACTTTCACGATTCTGGTTCCTAAAAATACTGTCAGTTCACAATAAAGTTGGTATTAAATGATTAAATGAATAAAACCTTTGTGCTGAGAAGGAAGAAACACGTAACAGGAAATGTATTCCTGTTTTCAATTTATATTCCAATTGGAAAATTACTATTCACTTGTTTTTTTTTTTTCAAAAAAGCAAACGTAAGCAATCCATAGCATACTACAAACAAAAATGTGAAGTATAGAACCAGCTCATGTGTAACATAGAAAATGCAGAAAAAGTGAACAGAAAGTACAGCAAAATGCTTCAAGGTACAGAAAAAGAAACAGAATCTATTCATATGGATAAAGTAACTAGCAGTTGACATTTTGCAGACAATACTGGAGGTAATGAAAATATCTTAGAGATACTATAATTTTAAAAGTACTTATTAATTACTGTTTAGCATATATAAACCCCAAATCTGGGAATTTTATCTTTTTCCTCAAATAAACTAGTTTAGGACAGATACTGGAATGTTATCAGCAGGAAAAAAGTAATGGAGAGCTTACAATAGAAGAAATTATCTTTATTAAAGATTCCTAAAAGTTTTTACTATTATATGTATAAGTAAAATGTTGATAGCTAATACCAGAATCTCTCTTTATATATGATTTGGAATTTGGGTATGCACTCATGCTGTCTAAATTTAGGTTGACTGTATATGTATGTTTTTCTTTGAGAATGTGGGCTCAGCCATTCTAACGGAAAATTGTTCTTGTCTACATCAAGCCTAAGATAAAGAGTCTCTTAAAGTGGATGATATCTGACATTACTGAGTGAACCTCTTTAGGTAAATAGGCCACCTTCCTGAATGCTGGTCTAAAGAGTCTTATTTGACTTGCACATTGCCATTCATTATCCATCTATCCTCAAATACTTCTTTATTTCTCTTTTGAAAAGTCTCTGCAACCCAAGAATATCTTGTCTGCTATGCAAATGACTTCCTAATGTCTAGCTGAAACCTGCCTAATGAGCTTTAGATTCATACTTCCAATTACTTGATCAGCAGCATCATCACCTGGATTTCCAACTGATACTTCAAACTCAGTAAACACAAAGCAGGATACATCAACTTTCCCAGGAGATCTGTCAATTTGCTTTTCTAAATTTCTCTGGGTTCAAACTATTGTCACAGTTACCTGAGCATGGTCATCAAGGACTAACACAGAAGGCACATCTCCTGTGTAGATTTCTCTGATTCTTACAGTAAAACAACAATAAAATGACAACAAAAACTCTTCTTCTTCTGATGAAAATATAACTGAAAGTTCCCTATGACACATCTCATTTTTTATCATGTATTAGTCTGTCTCATGACATACTTCATGACTCATGAAAGCATGCCTCAGGACTTACTTTATTACCATGTTATGAATCTCAGGCACTTGTGCATTTGCAATCATTTCTGAATATATTTTGAATGGGTAGTAAATGAATGAATTTCATATGTATAAAAGAAAAATATTTCTAATACCTCTAAAAATGTATTACATTACACACACACACACACACACACACACACACACACACACACATTCCAGCCCTCTTTAGCCTTTATGTAGTTTTAGTTTTTGAAAACCTTATGGGAAACTAAATTTGACCTATGTCAAATTATATGTCTAGGAATTAAAATTAGATAGGCAGATATTTGTTTACCTAATTAATGCCTCCGCAATTGTAGAGATTCTAATTTTATCACATTGCTTTCATCTTTCCAGATCAGAGAGTCATTTTTAAGATATTTTACACAAACTGATACCATCTCTTCATGTTTAATCATTTAATTCACTCTTCCTTAGATCTTTTCTATCTACTCTATATAAAATAATTTGATATTCTATATTAAACTTAGCATTATCAGTTCACTGTCATTGTGATTTTTTATACTGCAAATTTTTTTATGATTTTTGCTTCCAAAGATTTTCACATGATGGCTATGATTTTCTGATTTATTAGAACATAGTTTCTATTTTAGTTACTAGGCTAATTCAGGAATATATCCTCAGGGAAGTGGGATACGGTATCTCTAAATTCCTATCACAGATCAGATACATATATACAAACATATATTGAAATGTATATACATCATGGATAAATGTGTGTAAACGGAGATTATACAACATGCATGGTAGAACTATTGAGAAATGTAAATAAATAAACATAAGTGAAGTATTTGAAACAATGGATGGCACATAATCACATAATAAATCTCAGCTTTGATTATGTATGAATCTCCCAGGATCTTTTACACTGAAATATCCAGTAGCTGTTGAAGTTTTAGATCCATAAAAATCATTCTGCTGAAATCTAAAATAGAAACTCTCAAAAATTTATAACTGTATGGAGATTAACATATGAACTAACTTAACCCTCCTACTTGTGTTAGATATGATAGAATAAGAAATGTGTAGTGACTTGCCCAAGGTCAGACACTTAGTTTGACTGCAGAACTGATGGCTAGAATATGAATCTTATGAATCAGTGTACTTTCTAACTCAATATGTTTCTTGCAGTTTAGTGTGTTTACTGCTACTCATTTTTTACTGAGGTCTTGTCAAAGAGATACTGAACGTAAGTATAAATGTTAATATTTGGTTTCCTTTCTTATATATTAAAAAATAATTGTAAAACTGTGATTAATTCTTACAGAACCCATATTTCATACACGCTTATATTCCTAGAAGTTGATAATCACGTATTTCTTATTCAATCACTTTGTTATACACACCTGTGACAGATAAAAGCAGAAAGAACTAAGATTTTGGTGCCTAGGAGTCTACCAAATTTGTGCTCTACCCTCCATAGTGTGGAGCTCTGATTGAGCTTTCGGTGGTCAACCAGGGATAATATCTTTTTTTTTTTTTTTTTTTTTGAGACCGAGTCTCACTCTGTTGCCAGGCTGGGGTGCAGTGGCGGGATCTTGGCTCACTGCCACCTCTGCCTCCTGGGTTCAAGCGATTCTCCCGCCTCAGCCTCCCGAGTAGCCGGGACCACAGGAGTGCCTCACCACACCCAGCTAATTGTTGTATTTTTAGTAAAGGCAAGGTTTCACCATGTTGGCCAGGCTGGTGTCAAACTCTTGACCTCACATGATCTGTTCGCATAGGCCTCCCAAAGTGCTAGGATTACAGGTGTGAGCAACCACACCTGGCTGCAGGGACAATATTTTCTAGTATCACCACTCCATCTTGCCTACAACTCTGGACACATGACTAATTTTCACCAGCAGTATATCAGTAGCAATGATGCTTTTATGAGGTGTGTGAATATCTTCATTCTCTGTTTGTCATTTCTCTAGGTACAAGACTCTCAAGCCTAAAGAATAGCAAACTTGAAAGGATATGTAATCTTAAATCAGTAAATTGAATAAAGCTGCCCGGCAGCCAGGAACACCATATTGTATTGTTATATAAGTGAAAAATAAACTCTTATTGTCTTACATCACTTAAATTTTGAGGTTCTTTGTTTCCTCAATACAATCCAAACTAAAATTTGGCTGTCTCCTTCGTGTTTCTATAAATGATTCAATATTTGAAGTTAATAAAATTAATCTCTTAAAATTTTCCTATATTGTGGACTTTCTACTAATTCAGAGAGGTACCCTGCAAATCTCATCTGATTCAATATCATTAATATATGTACTTCATTCATATATAGCATTTGTGGCAAATAGAGATTTACAAACTCTCTACGAACCTTTGAGTTACCAGGATTCACTTTTATTTCCACATCATTCACTCCAACCCACTCTGTTCAGGAAAGGTCTAAGTAGTATCAAGTGAATTGAAAAGTTCAGCAGAGGGTTGGGATGCTTGAATGAAAAATAAATACAATAACACAGGTCTGTTTTCTCAATACAAACAGTAGAAAAATGAAAATTCAGATAATATGTGAGTATTATTACTTAGAAGTAATGTAGATTTAATTTTCACCAATAATATAGATCAGTTGCTCTTTTATATCTTTTAAAACTTCCTGATACTTTGTGTTTTATACTGATCTTGATTTTTTTTTCCTTTTGTTTTCACTTCCAGCAGCTGTAGCTTCCCTGTGACACAGTTAAGCCACATCCTGCCCACCTCCTTTATAGTGTCTCTTCTGTGACTTACTGGAAATAGGCTCCCAATCGTTTTTTAATTGCCATGCATAGGAAATGTTTTTTGACAGCACAGCTGGCTCCAGGATATATCTCTAGTGTTGGGGCAACTATTTTCTAATTGCTTCTCTACCTTTCTGATTAAACTGAAAAGAACTCAGCTGGGGGCAAACTCTTCAAATGGATAACCAGCCCTACTATGTCAGCTCCTAGTTGCTCTGATGTGATAATCAGGAAAAAGAAGTGCTCCTTTTGATAACTGAACTTCAGCAGTATTGAGAACAAAGGAACTTCAGCAGGATGGAAATGGGACTTTAGTCCAGTATTTCAGCCTCATGGGAAAAACCAGAAACACTGAGATCCTGCCTATTAAATAATACATGACTAAATTCTCCTGTATTTGCTATATCAATTTTTCTTGGTTGCCCATCTCAAAAACCCTCTTAGTGGAAAAATTCTTCCTACTACTCTATTGTCAACTTTCTCTATATAATACAAGTTCCCATCTCTGGGTTAACTGTATCCTAATCATGAACATTCAACTGATGTTTGGTCTGTATGTTAGTTTGTGGTGTCAGTGAAAATTGTGTACAATTACAACTACATAATCTCAGAAGCAATATTTTTCTCACTAGGTAGACAGACATATTTTTCTAATTCTAACTAAAAGATAATTTATCCATTCAAGTAAGAACACCTTTAGACTGAGTTCCTTAAGCTTTTTTGTTGGTGTGAAAGGAAAATAAATCTTGGGGCCACCAAATCACGAAGCTAAAGGGAAAAGTCAAGCTCGGAACTGCTTAGGGCAAACCTGCCTCCCATTCTATTCAAAGTCACCCCTCTGCCCACTGACATAGATGCATTGCTGAGTGCCTTCTTTGGAGAGGCTAAATAGAAACTCAGAATAATGCAACCATTTGTCTCTTATCTACCTGTGTCCTGGAAGCCCCCTCCCCTCTTCAATTCTTCCCACCTTTGCTTCAAGTTGTCCGACCTTTCCAGAGCAAACCAATGTACTTCTTACACATATTGATTGATGTGTCACGTCTCCCTAAAATGTATAAAACTAAGCTGTCTTATACATTTTTTATAAATGTTCATGTTTTATACATTTCACCACATTGGGCACATGTCTTCTGGACTTCCTGAGGCTGCGTCTTGGCAAAATAAACTTTCTAAATTAACAGAGACCTGACTCAAATTTCAGGGGTTAACAGTGGAAAAAAACATGAAAGAAAAATATCTATGAGTTTCTGTTACTTTCATTTTAGTCTGGTGAAATAGACAATAAATAAAACTCAAATTTTCAAAATGATAAATTATTCACAGATAGCACCTCAAACTTAAATGATGAAAAATTTTCAAAATGAATTTGATATAGAGACATTATGTTTTTCATTAAAATGATTTTAAAGACTATTTTGTTATCATACAGTAGATGGTACCTTGTAAACAGACCTAGACAGTGTAAGGACATGGTTCTGTTACAGTGGGTAGTTAGATATGAGCAGGGCAGGAGATAGACCTGCCCAAACCGGACTGTCAGGTGACCAGCATGTGATGATGGTGAGGCAGTTGTTACGTTGTCTCTCTAAAATAATAATTGGTAGCAGCCAGCACCAAGGAAAGGCAGTCTCCCAGTAGAAGAAATCTGAAACTGGTGATTGGCAGCTTCCCAATAAGATCTTAGGAGTTGGGTGAGTGGGCTCAAGCATGCAAACTACGAGGCAAAATGGCAAAGTTTAACCGGTATTTGACCTTCTAGGAAAGCCTCAAGTGAGTATGCCTACAACTTCAGTAAACGCACTGAACACGTGGCCCCTCCCAAGTGTTAGCAGGCCACTGTGCATGTGGAGAGCCTGCCCCAATGGAAGAAATGGGGAGAAGGCAACAAGACCCCAGAAGCATGCCAATGTATGAACCCCAAGTCAAAGGTCAAGCTGTGCACTTGAATCTCTCAAGTCACCCTCTTGGCCCTCTTCCAAGTGTACTTTACTTCCTTTCGTTCCTGTTCTAAAATGTTTTAATAATTTTTGCTTCTGTTCCCACACTTGCCTCAGTCTCCCACTCTGCCTTATGCCCCTCAGTGGAATTCTTTCTTCTGAGAACGCAAGAACTGAGGTTGCTACAGACCTACATTTATTCACTGTTGCTAATAGTTGCATCTTTGCAACTACATAAAGGCAGATTTTGGGGAATTTGATGAATTCTTCACTTGATAAAGATGTTGAGCTCAGTGATTAGTATTTTGTAATTAGTTCAGTTTCAGTAATAACAGACATGTACTTTTTGCTTTCTTCACCTTTGTAGATTCTAAATATTATTTCAGTTAAGGACAAAGAGATATTTTATGTATTGCCTTCAGCAGTCAGATTTTTCCTTCAAAGCTTCATCAAATCTGTAAGTTCTATTAATATCCTTTAACCAAAAAAAAAGTCAAAACCAATTAAAACAACACACTCACAATTATTTAAATGTAGAATGAAAGTCTAGATCAAAGTCTCGGCAGAGATTAGCTTAAATTGACATTCTCACATTTATGAATGCTAGAGAGATTAAAAAGTATGTCTCATGACTCAGATTCAGTTCTTCAGTGCCTTGATAGAAATATTCTAATTGATTCATATGTTTAAAGCTTTCTAGAATCATCAAGCACAGGTGATATTTAATTTTTAGGATAATAATCATGAGTGTATATCCATTAATGAGGAAATATACAGTATATTGATGGTAAAATTTGAAACTATATTATCCACATTTAATAAATGCTGGTTGTAGAACTGAAAGTACAATTATCAACAAAAATATCCATGTATTTTAAAAATATTAAGGATATAAGAAAAAATTGAGAAAACTGACCTGCAAATTTATAGCCCAAGTCACACTATATTAGAATAGTATTAATTTCACAGAAATGTACAAACACACACATACTCACAAATGTATATGTTATAGCACTTAAGTTATATTTTAACATATTGCTCTCTTTTAAATTGTCTTACGTTGTAAATATGCATGGCAATGAACTTGTCTAATTATGTTCTTAGATAAAGGTATATTGGCTTATTTATGTTATTTTTTCTACTTAAATATAGCTTTAAACACAAATACTGTTGAATTCAGAGGTGAATTTTTGTAATAGAATAGAAGCAAAATTTTAAAACTCTAAACACAAAATGTTTTCCAGAAACATTATTGTGCTTACAAATTATTTTTAAAATATTATCTCTCAAAGACTGTACTCTCTGAAAACTATTTTCAATTGTGTTCTTATGCATAGGCTTTTAGTATATAGTTTAACTTCTTCCAACATAAGCTACTGCTTCAAGGCATATTTTACAACTCTCTTCACAACATGTCATAAATTGCTATGGCATGCAGTTATGAAATTATATACCCAAAGAAATTAGAAGAGTATAAATGAGGAACATTTAATTTAATTTAATTATAGATGAATTTGACAAGCTTATCATTACATACAGAATTAAAATATTAACAATAATAATATGTCACCTTTTTAGACTACTTATCATGCCATAATCTGACATCTATTACTGATGGATATAATATCTTAGGGGACCACAGATGCTCTTAGATAAATAATTCAGCTATTTTGATGCTTTATCACATCATGACAAAGCATTTCAATCAATAGAAACAACTCTCTTCACTTGATTGATTGTTTAATTAATCAATTATTATACCTCAAAGAAGATGAAAAAAGAAATATACTATATCAGACCTTCAATGAAATTTTACCTGGTTAAGAGAAAACAAAAGATAATCAAATTAAAATTCAGCAAAAGCCCAAAATATAAGACTGTGGCCAGTAAGTGTGAAGTTTAACATTAAGAGGTTTATTATAACTAGCTGAGATGAACTTGGTATCTCTAGTTCTTGCAATGGCCTCATCTCATAGCATGTGATACATATTTGAATCACCTTAACACCTGCTAATATCAGTTTCTTTTTCCAGTTCTTTCTGATATAATATTTGTAACAGTTTTCCTTCAGAGACAGAACATGGGTGCTCACTTTAAAATATACCTCGGAACAGGAATTTCTAAGGATACTGTTGCCTGCTGGCTACTTTGCTTGACAGCCAGTGGTGGCATGGCGTGCTAAAGACTTTGAGTTGACGAGGTAGTGGGAAAAATGAGAAATTTATGTTAACTGTATGTAGAAATTAGAGGCAGATCGGAACTGCCTTAGAGATTCTACAGGGTACTATGAATCATTTTGCTATAGTGTTTTGTCATGTATTGTATGACTTAAACCTATTTATATTTTGTAGGAAAATGTTTATATACTTTTATGATAAATGTATTTTATTAGCAATAGGTTAAAAATACAAAAATACAAATACACAAGTTCTCATTTACATGTGGGAATTTAAAAAATTAAACACGTGGTGGGGCACGGTGGCTCATGCCTATAATCCCAGCACTTTGGGAGGCTGAGGCTGGTGGATCACCTAAGGTCAGGAGTTCAAGACCAGCCTGGCCAACATGGTAAAACCTCGTCTCTACAAAAATACAAAAAATTATCTGGGCATGATGGTGGGTGCCTATAATCCCAGCTACCTAGGAGGCTGAGGTAGGAGAATCACTTGAACCCAGGAGGCGGAGGTTGCAGCGAGCCAAGATCACGCCATTGCACTCCAGCCTGGGTGACAGAGTGAGACTCAGTCTCAAAAAAAAAAAAAAAAAAAATTGAACACATAGAGGTAGAGAGTGAAAAAACAGATAACAGAGACTGGGAAGGATGAATGGAGAGGCGGGGGAAGTATGACGAGAACTGGGTTAAAAGGTACAAACATACAATAAGATAGAAGGAATCAAGTCAATGTTTGATAGCAGAGTAGGATGCCTATATTTAACAAAAATTCATTGAACTCAGGTGATGGATACCCTTGAATACCATCACTTGATTACTACAAGGTATATACAAATAACAAAATTTCTCATGTACCCCATGAATTTGCACACACTTAAAAAATGTAAAAAAATAAAATAAAAAATGAAAAAATAACATTAAACAATGTTGAGTTGAAAACAAACAATGTAAAACTCACCAAATAAGTTGGCCTATAAATTTGTTTGGATTTTCTTCTTTACTTTACTTGCTTTGTTAAAATTAGAATCAGGTGTCAGTCACCCTTGAATTAAAAGCACTAGTCTTTTTGAATACTAGGTGACAGTAATTTCTTCACGATACAAGGCAAAGTTAATAATTACCCAAAGGCACACAGATTTTCAGTGAGAGAAAGACAAATTGCCCACTAAGGTCTACCTTATTTTTGAGCTCAATCCTCTTGGCTGTACTCCACGACATCTCCAGAAAAGATGATGGGGGAGATATTCCTGTCTGTAGAGAGAATTTTACAAAGAGAAATAAAGGCTGAAAAAAATAAGTACCGCTGAACAAGATCTAACTCTGTGACTTAAAGTAAGTTACTCCAGGACTCTTCCCAGCTGCACAGTCACTATATATGCACAATGTTAAAATTACCACAACTCCCTGGATATACCAGGATACCGTATGACATTGTGATTTTGCCTCTGCTTTGGTCCTTTAGTATACTTCATCTTCAATATGTTCCCTTGAAATCACATGCAAGTCCCTCAAGATCCAGTTCTAAAACCAACTCTTCAATAACACTTTCCCTGGCACTGTTCATTATACCCAATCCTTAGCACATCAAGTTGATTTACTCTTTAATCTAAGACTATATGGAGGCAACAGAAAATCTTAGTTGGGAATGATTAAATCCACAATAAGAATAAATGAATTTCAAAAAATGGGAAAAGAAATTAGAGAGACTCCCCAGTGGAATTTAAAACAAACAACCAGCACAAAACAAAAAACTAAAGATGAGAACATAGTATAATGGTTAGAACCACAGTCTCTAATTCTAGAGCAAAATTGACTCAGTGAAATTCTGTATTTTGGCAAGCCTTGTAGGTGACTCACACGCACAATGAATTTGAGACCTTCTTGACTATGTGTTTTGCTTTGCTTCCCTTTGAAGATAATGCATTTTTTACACATTAATGCAATCTTGCATTAATGAAATTTATTATATTAGCTCCATATTTCCAACAGCATGTGCTCACTTCTTTTCTGTGTCACATTTTGGTAGTTCTCACAATATGTTCAACTTTTTCATGACCATTTTATTTGTTATGGTGATCTATGATCAGTGATCTTCGCTGTTACTATTGTAATCATTTAGGGGTGCCATGAACCACACAGCAAACTTAATAAATGTGTGTGTTCTGACTGGTCAACTGACCAGCCATTCCCCTGTATCTCTCCCTCTCCTTGGACCTCCCTGTTTTGTGGGGCACAAAGATATTCAAATTAAGCCAATTAATAACCCTACAATAGTCTTTAAGTGTTCAAGTGAAAAGAAGAGTCACATGTCTCTCACTTTAAGTCAAAAGCTAGAGATGATTAAGTTTAGTGAAGAAGGCATGTTGAAAGCTGAAAGGCCAAAAGCTGAGCCTCTTGGGTCAAACAGTTATCCAAGTTGTAAATGCAAAGAAAAAATGCTTGAAGAAAATTAAAAGTGCTACTACAGTGAACATACAAAGGAAAATAAAGCAAACAGCCTTGTTGCAGATACGAAGAAAGTTTTAGTGATCTGCATAGAAAAGCAAACCAGCCATAACAGTCTTTTAAACCAAAGCCTAATACAGCCTCTTTTATTCTATGAGAGAGGTGAGGAAGCTGCAGAAGAAAATTTGAAACTAGCAGAAGTTGATCCATGAGGTTTAGGAAAAAAGCCATCTCCGTAACATTGAAGTGCAAGGTGAAGCAAGCACTGATGTAGAAGTTGAAGCAAGTTATCTAGAAGATATAACTAAGATCATCAGTGAAGGCAGCTATACTGAACACGAGATTTACAATGGGGATGAAAACAGTCTTATATTGGAAGATGATGTCATCTAGAACTTTCATAACTAGAGAGAAGAAGTCAATGCGTGGCTTCTAAGCTTCCAAAGACAGTCTGACTCTCTTAGTAGGGGCTAATACACCTGATGACTGTAACTTGAAGCCAATGCTCATTTACCATTCCAAAAATTTTAGGACCCTTAAGAATTATGCTAAATCTACTCTGCGTGTGCTTGTAAATAAAACAAATAAGGCTGAATGATAGCAGGTATGTTTACAGCATGGTTTGTTGAATATTTTAAGCCCACATTTGAGAACTGCACCTCAGGAAAAAAAAAAGAAAAAGTAACTTTCAAAAAAATTACTGCTCATTGACAATGCACCTGGTCACTCAAGAGCTCTGATAAAGCTATCCAAAAATTTAATGATATTTTCATGTCTGCTTACACAGCATCCATTCTGCAGCCCCTGGGTTAAGGAGTAATTTCCATTTTCAAACCTTATTATTAAAGAAATAGATTTCATATAAGGCTGTAGCAGCCATAGACAGTGATTCCTCTGATAGATATGGGCAAAGTAAATTGAAAGTCTTTTGAAAAGGATTCATCATTGTAGATGCCATTAAGAACATTTGAGATTCATAGGAGGAGGTCAAAATATTAAAATCAACTGTTGTTTAGAAAAAGTTGATTCCAATCCTCATAGATTAAACTGAAGGATTCAAGACTACAGTGAAGGAAATTATTGCAGATGTGGTGGAAATAGCAAGATAAGTAGAGTTAGTAGTGGAGCCTGCAAATATGACAGAATTGCCGCAATTACATGACAAAAATTTAATGAATAAGGACTTGCTTCTTTTGAATAAGCAAAGATTCTTGAAATGGAATCTTCTGGCAAAGATGCTATGACATTATTGAAATAACAACAAAGGATTTAGCATAATTTTATTACATAAAATTAGTTTATAAAGCACCAGCAGGGTTCGAGAGGATTGCCTCCAATTTTGAAAGATATTCTACTGTGTGTAAAATGCTATCAAACATCATTGTATGCTACAGCGATATCTTTTGAAAAAGGAAGTGTGAATCGATGTGGCAACTTCATAGTTGTCTCATTTTAAGAAATTGCAGGCCGGGCGCAGTGGCTCACGCCTGTAATCCCAGCACTTTGGGAGGCTGAGGCAGGCAGATCACGAGGTCAAGAGATTGAGACCATCCTGGCCAACATGGTGAAACCCCATCTCTACCAAAAATACAAAAATTAGCTGGGTGTGGTGGTGTGTGCCTGTAGTCCCAGCTTCTCAGGAGGCTGAGGCAGGACAATCACTTGAACACGGGAGGCGGAAGTTGCAGTGAGCGGAGATTGTGCCACTGCACTCCAGCCTGCTGGCAGAGTGAGACTGTCTCAAAAACAAAAACAAAAACAAAAAAAAGAAAGATAAGAAATTGCAATAGCGGCTTTGACCTTCAGTAACCACCACACTCTTCAGTTAGCAGCGACAACACGGAGGCAAGACCTTCCACCAGCAAAAGATTATGGCTAGCTGAAGGCTCAGTTAATCATTAGCTTTTTTTTAATATAGTATTTTTAAATTAATATCTGCATATTTTTTAGACATAATACTGTTACTCATTTAATAGATATAACATAAACAAAACTTTCTATATGCACTGGGAAACCAAAAAATTTGTGTGACTCCCTTTGTTAAGTTATTCACTTGATTGCAGTGGTCTGGAACTAAGCCTGCAATATCTCTGACACATTTCCGTAAATAAATGCTGTCTGAGCTCATTTGGTTATACAATTATGGCTAACAGTAGCAACTTCGAGCTTTGAGGAAGGAGATTAAAAAATGTAACATGGCCCAGCTCTGCGACTGTGTGGTCATGGGTAATTACATAACTTCAATGTGCTTCAACACAGTTCTCTACAATAATAATAATAACGAAATATATAAATAATAATGAAACCAACCTCAAAAACTTATTGTGAGGAATAAATAAGTTAATATAGTTTAAGAGCTTAAGTCAGATCATGGACCATAATGAGTGCTATACAATTATGATGAAGGTGATAAATTGAAGTAAATAGCTGCAAAGATTGTGAAGACAGTCTTGAAGAAAATAAAAATGTTCTTAGCAATACAATCAATATCTACTGCTTATGTAAAATGAATGCTGATTAGAACAAAAACAGAAGCCAGTACATAATCACCCCAGTTTAGAATGTCTGAGACATAGACTCACTGAGAGACACAAAAATAGACCAGCAGAATGAAAAAAGAAAGAAAGAAAAAAATATGGATAAGACTGGAACAGAGTCCAAATGTTTTCTTCAGTTACTTAGAAGAAAATACGTATATCTGAAACTTACATACTATATAGTATACATATATATAGTTATTTTGTTTTAGCTATTGATGAAGGGGGAATACTTTTTTCCTCAGCCATTTCTGGGGTCGTGGCTGAGGCATCTATAATAAAAGATTATCAAGAGAAAAAATGGCTAGGTACAGTGGCTTACTCCTATAATCTCAGCTACTCAGGACGCTGAGGTGGAAGGATCACCCGAGCCTAAGAGTTCAAGGCAACAGTGAGGTATGATCACGCACTGCACCCTAATCTGGATAACAGAGAGACCCTCTCTCTAAAAAATTGACAATAATAATAAAAAACAAAAAGAGAATCATACAAATTCATTTAATACAACTTCTACATGACACAGTAGCCTTCAGAAATGAAGACACTACAAAAAAGGGAAACCTGTATATTTTTATGGTTAGGTTTGATAAAAATGGATAGTTGTAGAGATGTATGACTGGGCAAAAAGGGTAAAATCCAATAGTAATAAAGTGGAGGGAACTTAGCAAGTCTTGTTTATTCAGATTCTTCTGTGTTCCTGTGTCTTCAGATATAAAGACATTCCCTTTTTCTGGATATAAGGAGGGTTCCTCTCAAATGAGGGTCTCATGACCTTCTTCAGAAGAAGGTCAGAGCATTTTTTATGGCCTGCTTCATGGGAGAAGGGTATAGATAAAACAAGTTTTTCCATTATGTGGTAATTGAAAAAGCCTGGTGACAGCAACAGAAGTCAAAATATTACTATTTATCTTTACTTTTAGTTTTATGTGAGTTTGTCCGTAATCTAAAGCTTTAAAAAATGTGGTCAGAGACAGTTACAGAAAAAGTGATTGGAATTTGATCTTATCATCAGGGGATAAAAACTTCTACTAGGTCTTAGACCATGTCACATTTTTTGATCTCCTTTCTGGTAGCAGCAGCAGCAGGTCCAAGTTGTTATTGTCAATCATGACATTTGTGTTAACAAATAAGCAAAAACAGCATTTATATATTGCTATCTGATAGAGTTTGGCTCTGTATCCCCTCCCAAATCTCATCTCTAGTTGTAATCCTCACATCTCCAGGGAGGGACCTGGAATCCCCACATGCTGAGGGAGGGAGTTGACTGGATCATGGTGACGGTTTCCCCCATGCTGTTCTTGTGATACTGAGTGATTTCTCATGAGATCCAACGGTTTTTTAAGTGTTTGGAAGTTCCTCTTTCGCACTTTGCTTTCTCTCCTACCGCTTTGTGAAGGTTCCTTTTTCCACTTCTGCCATGAGTGTAAGTTTCCTGAGGCTTCCCCAGCCATGCAGAACTGTGAGTCAATTAAATCTCTTTTCTTTATAAATTACCCAGTCTCAGGGAAGTTCTTAATAGCAGTGTGAAAACAAACTAATACACTATCCATCCATGGATTTACTAAATTGAGTGAGCATCAGAATCACCTATGAGGCTTACAATAAACAAATTGTTGGTATCCTTCTCTTTAAGAGTTTCCAAATCAGTAATTCTGGGGAGAGGGCCCAGAATGTGGATTTCTAATAAGGCCCTAGTTGATGCTACTGCTGCTGCTAAAGGAACCACATTTTGAGAACCTTTTCTCTAGCCTGTTGATATGGTTTGGCTGTGTCCCCACCCAAAATCTCATCTTGAATTGTAATCCGAATTGTAAGCCCCATGTGCTGGCAGCAGAACTTTGTGGGAGGTGATTAGATCATAAGGGCCATTTCCCCACGCGGTTCTCAAAATAGTGAATGAGTTAGTTCTCACAAGATCTGATGCTTTAAGGGGCTTTTCCTCCCTTCACTCATTCTCCTTGCTGCCATCATGTGTAGAAGGATATGTTTGCTTCCCCTTCTGCCATGATTGTAAGTTTCCCGAGGCTTCTTCAGCCATGCTGAACTGTGAGTCAAATAAACCTCTCCCCTATAAATTACCCTGTCTCAAGTATGTCTTTATTAGCAGTGTGAGAATGATCTAAAACGCCTGTATATTTACAACACTTCTCAACATTATTAATCACTCAACATTATGATGTGAGAATTATATTTTATTTATCAGAGTATTGTGCAGTAGCTGGAATATTGGGTAAGATTAATAATTACACATATGAATATACTTAATATACTTGGACTGCTCTTTGCTCTTATTCTCTTTGCTCTTGGCTTAAATTGCCTCGGGGAGTCTTTCTATTAGATTGAAATGAGAATGCCAAAACAATGAACAGCATTTTAGATTTTGCTCAATATTATTTTAATTTGGGTAGTAACATCTAATCATCCATCTGAAAATAATAAAGGGACAAATATATCTTCTATGTCAGAAACTACCTTGGGCACAGGGGCATGACCATAAAGAATTCTTCAAGGCCTCAACCTTCATTGATTAGAAAGATTTATATTGTTAAAGCATACAGAAATGATCAGAGGGATCCAGGGCAGGAAGGTCATTTTTACAGCTATTGCAGAATCACAAATGTAACATCATACATATTAAACTGTAGGTGGTAAATGCAAAAATAAGAAAGAAGTAGTAGATGTAAGCTATATTATAAAAGAAGATAACAAGAAATCAGTGACTGTTTTAATGTCAACGAATAAGTAGATTGTTGATCTTTCTGTAATAAAAGTATATTTCTTGAAAAGGATAACAAGCTTTCATAAAGAAGATAAATTAAATATAAATAAAACCATTAAGTTAGTTAAGCATATACTATTTGTCCATTTTGAAAATTTAAAAAGGCATATTTACAACCACAAAGTTTGAGACTTAAAATAACAAGATGATTTTACAGGTGAATTTTATACTATCTCGATATTCATGCATCAAAGAATAAACTAAGTCTTAAATATGCTGTTTGTGTTCATGCTATGTTTTTATGATTCAACTTTTTGTTTTGGTTTGTTTCATTTCCTCAAGGGCTAATCATTGCTTTTCCCAGCAGGGGAAAGAAAGCCCACCCACCAAGTCCCTTCCAACTTTCACTGATGAGATCTTGGGGCTGTTTACATTAGCCATGCAAATTTGAAAAACCCTAACTGTCTCCTGGTGTTTAATCTCACAACTCAATTTGTTTCTGAAGCTGGTGTGCTTAGCAGCTGTGCAGCAGTGCTTTGTCTGTCCCAAAGACAAGAGACTATTTTTTTTTACTTAAAGAATAGACAGAATACTCCTCCAATAGCTTAGATCACAGCATTGACAGAGTTAATTAATGACCCAGAACAGTCACAAACAACCTAATTTCAGTTATAATTAAGAACAAAAATGTATGTGTCAGATATTTCCTGGAACTAGACCATATGTATAACAGTTACTCACAAACACACTTTGAAAAGTTGGGAATGACAAAATATCTGTGAGTAAGCAAATTCCCCCTCCCCACCAGCAAAAGCTTTTCCTTACAATTTATTTAAAAACATCTGTTTCTAGCAGACTTAAAAATATATAAAATTGGGTTAAAAAATCCTGCTGCTGTTAACACAAAAAGAGAAAGAGAATGTATCCGGTCTCAAAATGGCCCTCAGTTGAGCTGTTTCTGAAGAAAGTGCTTTTAACACAGGTCTCTGAAATTGTGGGCTGTAAATAAAAATCTCAGAAAATAAATCTCTGAAAATGAGTTACATCTATTTCTACTATTACTAGGAAATAAATGACCTCCAACTTTAGATTCCAGGGTTCCATTCTGCATTTAACAAAGTGGGTTTTCTTTGTTTGTTTTGTGGGTTTTGGGGTTTTTTTTTTTCCATCTAGAAAAGTTTACTAGCTTAACTTCAAAATTCTAAACATTGTCTATAAGGTCCTTCACAATTTGACCTTGATCAACTTCCTTTCCCAATGAACTTTTTTTATTTCTTAAATAGACGTTCTTTTTTTTTGAGATGGAGTCTCGCTCTGTTGCCCAGGCTGGAGTGCAGTAGCATGATCTCAGCTTACTGCAACCTCTGCCTCCCAGGTTCAAGAGATTCTCCTGACTCAGCCTCCCGAGTAGCTGGGATTACAGATGCCTGCCACGCCACCATGCCTGGCTAATTTTTGTATTTTTAGTAGAGATGGGGTTTCACCATGTTGGCCCGGCTGGTCTCCAACTCCTGGCCTCAGGTGATCCAGCCGCCTCGGCCTCCCAGTGTACTGAGATTACAGGAGTGAGCCATGGCGCCAGCCTAAATAGACTTTATTTTCAAGAGAGGTTTAAGTTCACAGCAAAACTGAGAGAATTAGCAGTGATTTCCCATGTATCCTCTGTGCCACATGTGTAGCTTCCTCCATTATAAACATTCTCCACTAAAGTGGTACATCTGTTACAACTGATGAACCTGAACTGTCACATCATTATTACCCCAAGCCCACAGTTCATGTTAGAGTTCACTCTTGCCACTATACATTTTATGAGTTAAGAGAAATGTATAATGACATTTATCCACCACTGTAGTTTCACACAAAGTTATACTGTCCTAAAAGTCTTTTGTGCTCCCGGTATCCATCCCTGTCTCCTTTCTAACCCCAGGCAACAACTGCGCTTTTTACTGTGTCTATATTTGGCCTTTTGAAGAATGTCACATAGTTCAAATTACATAATACATAGGGCTTTTTTAGGTTGGATTATTTTACTTAGCAATATGCATTTAAATATCCTCCATGTTTTCTCATGGTTGACAGCACATTTCTTTCCAATGAAGAATAGATTGCTTTGTCTTAAGTGTACCACAGTTTGTTTATCCATTCACCTACTGAAGGACATCTTAGTTGCTTCCAAGAGAATTTCGACATGCAAACAACTACAAAATAAATCTTAGACATAGATCTTACATACTTTCACCAAGAAATTCACTCAAAATAGATCACAGACCTAAATGTAAAATCCAAAACTATAAAAATCCTTGGTGATAACATAGGAGATAATCTAGATGTCCCTGAGTTTGGTTGATGACTTTTTACATGTAATACCAAAGGTATGATTCATTAAAGAAATAATTGATATCTGGACTTAATTTTTAAAAATGTGCTCTGTGAAAGACACTGTCAAGAACATTAAAAGACAAGCCACAGATCAGGAAAAAATATTTGAAAATAACATTGCAAATAAAAGATTGTTATTAAAAGTATACAGAGAACACTTAAAACTCAACAATAAGACAATAAAAAACCTGACTGAAAACTAGACCAAAGACCTTAAAGGACACTTCACCAAAAAAGATATTCAGATGGCAAATGAGCACATGAAAACATATACCATCATATGTCATCAGAGTAATGTAAATTAAAACAACCATGAGATATTACTTCATATTCCTTAGAATGGCCAATATCCAGAACACAGATACCACCAAATGCTGGGGAGAATGTGGAGTTAGAGAAGTTATCATTTATTGCTGATGGGAATGTAAAATGATAAAACAGTTTTGGAAGACAGTTTGGTGGTTTCTTACAAGACTAAATATACTCTTACCATGCACTGTAACAATTTTACTTCTTGGTATTTACCAAAATGAGTGGAAAACTCATGTCCACACAAAAAACTGCTATATACAGATGTTTATAACAGCTTTATTTATAATTGATGAAAAAAGCAACAGATTTCTCAGTGTTGCTAAAAATATCTGCCTCTTAGTGTTGCTGTGCCATTATTCATGATGATGCTGTTGTTGCCTTGCCTGCCCTCCTCATTCCTCACCTTTTAAATCTTATTTATAATTTAAGATTCTCTCCGCTTTATTAAGCTCCCCAAGTCTTATTTCCCCTAATTGGCAATAGTAAGGCCTACCTCTTTGCTGTTTTAGGAATACCATGGAAAATTCTCCTTATGATGGATGCTATGTTATGATAACTTAATACTTTCCCTTTTGAACTAGAAATTCCATAATATTGCCCTTGTGTAATAAACACTCATTATCCTCAAGTACTCATCAGTTACAGTGAGTAATCCAAGGGTTTTATTTTACTTAGTTGTCTATCTGATCACTTATTTTACCATTAAGAATTAGTCAGCATTGTCACTTGTCGATTTCAAATTTATAGCACTGAATGTCTAGTTCTTTTAAGTAATTTTTAAAATCAAATTTTGGGAGGTATGAATCAGATACAAATTGTTTTTGAGGCTCACAATAGGAGTAAATTACTTTCAAACATGAATAACATTCCTCTCCTATTTGTTCTCCTCTGTAACTTTTCTATTTCAGCAAATAGTCTGTTTTCATGATTTCTGTATTAGTGCTTGGCATAGGTTTCTTTTAGGAGATAAAGTATACATTCAATGGCCTAATTAATTATGTACTTTGCAGCATGGCTCTGCTTATAATTGTCTCTTACATCATGGCACTTAACTCCTAACTGAAAATTTAATCAAGCAGGGGCAATGTAGTTTAAGTAATGTAACATTTTAGATAAGAGTAAGGAGAACTTACAAAGAAGATAAACACACAATTCTAATTGAAGAATAAGTTGTCTCCATATAGTTAGAAGCAAATGAAAATAAAAGCACACTTGTGAGTTAATGTTGCATATGTATACTTTAAAATGGAAAAAAAAAGACAGATAAGAAGGCTGAAGAAAGCCTTTGACACTACACTTTAAGCATTATACATTATGTAATGCTATGAGGACACACTTTTAAAGTACAAATCAACCTTATGTGTGTCATTGCTTCCCTGAGATGGGATTTATGTGAAGCCACAGGAAAAAAGTTACAAAATGACCCACAACTTTCTTTCCTTTCTTGAGGAATTATTTGTTTCTTGAATCTGATCTTTCACTCCCAATTGGTAAATACTCTAGTAAGTGTAGTTTTAAATTAAAATAATTTCTTCTTCTTAGACAAAAAAGGGGGATTATGAACTCATAAACCTTTGCATATTGTAAATATTAGTTTAAGAATTCAACCTGTGGGCCATGTAAAGTGAAAGCATGCACATCAAGATCTGTGCACCTCTGATTCCTTCCCTCAGAAGAGAATGAGCCCACAAAGTAAATCATATCTAAGCTATTCCAACAAAAACCATAAAAATGTATTTTTCCTATTATTCAAATTTTCAATATTTACATGTATTATGATATGTGTTTAATTTCTGTTTATATATGTTTAGATTCTTTCTATAGCCAATCAATATAGTCTTTCCAAAATGAGAATAACATAATCCAGCTAGCATTTGCTTTAAAATTTTAGAACTAAAAGTCCCTTGCTTTTTATGGAATTAACTCACAAAACTGAATCACTATCTCCAAAAAAAAACTAGAAAATGTATAGTTAATCCATCTTTAAAAGTTGCCATGATATTTGGCATACAGTGACTCTGGAGAAAGTGTCAAGGATAATTCCTAAGCTGTTCTGGAAAGGTAATCTCCAAATCTGAAAACAATGTATTTGATGAAAATCATCTAGGTTCCCTTTAAGCAACTGGAGAAATTATGAGTTAGCTTTTCTCTCCCTTGAGAAAATTCTGTTTCATACCATGAGTGACAATAATTCACGGCATTCATTTATTTGTAACGTGAAGGAAAAACAGACATCTGAAGCAAGAAGACAGAGATTCAACCACATTCCTCCACTTACTAGCTTTGGGAGTTAGAGCAATTTTCTTAATCTCTTTGTGCCACTGTTGACATTGAAATTAATTACTCTTCCCTAAATTAATTCCTTAAAAGAATAGTTGCTAATCATCCTAAAATGTGTGGATGTGTAATTCTTGGCTTAGTGCCCTTTACCAAGATGACACTAGAAAACACTTTTAGCTCTATTCTGGAGGCCTGAATTCTCTAGTTTATCAACTTAGTTCCATCATTCAGGAGAAGCTGGGGAACTAGAAAGCTCCTTGGCAGTCCAAGCCAGTAATAAGTTTCTATTGGCTTGAAAATGATGCTCTTGAGACATAATTCTCAAAGTATATTCTATTTAGAAAATGAATATTCTATCTTCATGGGTCTTCTGCTTACAGTGTTAGAATATTCTCAGATCCCAAAAGTAAACATCACTCCCATTTTGAGAGTTCTCTAATGCCGAGTACATAGTCTTTGCCAGATAAAAAGGCTTTGTGTCCAGCACTTTCCTGTTTTCAATAGTCACAGGTTTGGTTTCTTACTCATGTGCATCTGAATATTGATTTACCACAATGGTGACAGAGACTCTAGATAGACTGATCAGACTCTCCCACAATCAAATCTTGTTTTAGCCCCTGTGTATGGAACTTAAATTATTATTTCTAACAAATATTAAAGCTTATTTCAACTATAATGTAGGTTATTTGGACATGAAGGTAGCATCACACATTATACTACTGAGCTCATTACTAAGATATTCTGTTATTCTTATTTCTGTCTGTTTTATAGATCTGTACAATCACTGGCATTGGGGGGGGGTCATCTGTGTTTGGAGTACATGCAGTGAACATATGGATAAAAGACCTTTAGAAATAGTTAAAGCAAGAAGCCATTGTGATTTTAGAGTATCACAACCAATGGTGCCATTACTAATAGTTAGATGATAAATTCTTACTTTAAATTCAACCTCAGGTGGCTTGAAGAGGTGGTTTGTAAAAAAATTAATTGCCAAAAAGGAATAGACAATCTTAAAGGGACTTTCATTAATTTTCATTAGGGTGACTTGCCAATGAAACATATCATCCCCAACTAGGGGAACTGGACTTATAAAGAAAATATTTTCATCATCTTTTTACTTATGAAATCCTGGTGGCCCTACTCTTCACTACCCTTTCTTCTCTCAAAGAGGTAAGGCTTTTTTAACATGCAGAGCAATCAAATGGTTTGGTCCTACTATTTTTTCCACAGCCTGCTAGGTTATATGTCTTGGAATTGCCAAAAATAATCACTGTAAAATCTAAATTATAATTCACATAAAGAGAGAATTCCTTAAAGAAAATGTAACAGAAAATCCTGTTTCTCTCGCATCTTGTCTTTAATACATTAATAATAGTGTGTCCTCAAATGAGAATTTAAATCTAGAAGCCAGAAAAGCTGAAATTCCAGTTTCTGAGAACTTATCCTGCATAGTCTTCCCACAATATGTAAAACACTTCAATCCTGAGGGCTCCATATGCGAGTTTCCGTGTGAATACACCTACCATTTCAGACATGCACTCAGGATCCCACCAGGGCACCAACCTCACCTGTTGTCAGCTTTCTCTGGGTGCTACCTTACCTTCCTTTTAGGAAAAGTTCAACCCTTTCAACAGGTGGAGCTTTCACTCTCTGTCTATGACCTATGTCTTATAACCATTAATAGTGCCTTGTCTATTGGGATAAATATGGATGCCAATCACTACCTTAAGATTTAGAATCAAGACAGTCTCCTTTCATCCCCTGGATGAGAATTGAAGATGGTTGTCTCTTTCCAACAGATTTCCACTAATGAGATTTTGGGTTTAATTATGCATATTTAAAAATATATATTTATTCTTAAAACAAGATTGATAGAACATTGAAAAAAACCGTATTTAAAAACGACTCAAAATGGCAACAGTCCAAGTGTCCAACACAAGAATAGAAAAACTAATTATGATGTATTACATCCAATGGAAGGCTCATCGGCAATAAAAAAAGAACACATTTCCAAAACAGGCAAAATGTGGATGACTCTCAAAAACATCGTATTGGGCAACAGAAACCAGACACAAAAAGATATACATTGAGGCTGGGCACGGTGGCTCACACCTGTAATCCCAGCACTTTGGGAGGCCAAGGCGGGAAGATCACGAGGTCAAGAGATCAAAACCATCCTGACCAACACAGTGAAATCCCGTCTCTACTAAAAATACAAAAATTAGCTGGGCATGGTGGCATATGCCTGTAGTCCCAGCTACTTGGTAGGCTGAGACAGGAGAAATGCTTGAACCCAGGAGGCAGAGGCTACAGTGAGCCGAGATCATGCCACTGCACTCCAGCCTAGGCAACAGAGTGAGACTCCACTTCAAAAAAAAAAAAAAAAATACACATTGAGTAATATTACTATTCATGTAAAGTTCTAGGATAGGCAAAGCTATAATTCTTAGAAATCAGTATAGTGGATGCCTAGAGTAGAAGATTGTGATTGACTAAAAGGAACAGAGAGAGCGATGCAGGGAAACAGTAATATCCAGTACCTCATCTGGATAGTATCTACAGGAATGTATTCATATATTAATATTCTTAAAGCTGGACCTTTAACATTAATGCATTTTACTGGATGTAAATTATACTTTAATAACATGCTGATTATTTGATTATCATAAATAATAAGGTAGAATTCAAAATTGAATAAACATAATTGCAATTTGCAGGGCTCTGGCTCTGCTTTTTTAGAAAATTTGATCCTATTTTTGCCATGAGAGGCACTGTATACTTTACTGATCTTTCTGAAGTACGTGTGAACTTGAGAGGATTCTAACAAATGGGATTGTGGTTTGCCGGGGCACCTCCTTTTACTTTTTTTCAGTTATTCCTGTCAAACATCTTTTCCACTAACTTCACAATAAACAAAATTGTAGCTAGCCTCTGACCACTAGCAGAAATATTTCAAAACTTATGGGAGTATGGTTGGCAGCACCATCCCTATTTCTTATTTGTTTGTTTATTTGTATGCATCAGTGTTCTATAAAATAAATACTGGATGTGCTCTTGGAAAACAATCTTTCTCCATATATGCATATTAATAATTATTTTTAAATGACTGCATATAATAATATGCTAAGAAAGTAGGAAATATTTCTGACGTCATGTCATGAGAATGGTTTTATATGTTACTCTTTGTGGCAATTGAAAAAATATTCAGATATATTGAGCTTGAGTGTATATAGTTATGTATTTAAACATCTTACCAAAATTGTGTTCAGCATTTTTTCACATAGCCATAGCAATATATTTTCTGCCTTACCAATAAAATGTCAATGTGAGTGATAGTTTTTTATGTAAACACAGCAAATTCTAAAATGTTACATGCAAAGGCTGTGAATAAGCATTTTTAAATTGACATGTTATTTAATAGTTGTCTCTAGTTTTCATTCTTTTGCATTTCTTTTATTATCTTTGTTAGTCTCAATCCAATCTAGCCAAAATATTATAGAGAAAAAGCTTGCTGGTATTTTGATTATCTTAATATGGCTGATGTCATTTGGAGTTGATTGATGTATTCAAAGATGAGACTCAAAAACTGGAAAAGAGTTTAGTCTCATATTTTTTAAATTTCAAATTATTTGGGTTGTCTATCTAGTTGTACAGATATATCCTGATGTACTGAATTAGGAATACCAGCTAGTATGACAAAAAAAAAAAAAAAAACACTCAAGGAAATTTAATGTAGCCCCCAGTAATAGGGCAGATGGCTAATTTCTGAAACAATATGAATGCATTCCAAATTTTGAAAAGAAATTTGTTTATATACCTTACGGTAGTTATACTACCATCTTTTAGTCAGCCTGTGAATAAACTATCAGTTTGAATAATATATTATACTTATTCATACAGTTAACAAGCCTTATTGAGATTCAGTACTGTGGGATGCTTAGATGTACTCCATAGAGATTACACTTTCTTTTCTTATTCAAATAGACTCATCATATTTTTTAAATTAACATCCTTTGTAATAATAATAAAGCTTAAATTGTATGTGTGTGTGTTTCTGTGTGTGCGTGTGTGGGTGTATGTGTGTGTGATAGAGAGAGAAACCTCAATGAGGGATTTATAAAATGCTTCCAACTAAAGATTCAAATTAGAAGCAATTCAAGCAATGATGGTTTAGCATGTGCTTTGAAGGGAAATTAAATGCAATGTTCATGAAAAACAACAGTTCTACGCAGTTTCAAAAAGGTGAAAAGGAGTAGCTAAAGGAGCATCAATAAAGATAGTTGAAATTACCAAAATAGAGACAAAAAATTACGTAAATTGGTGTATGAATATTGTTAATAGAGCAGTGAGGAGTCAACATACATCAATAGGAATTAAAATAGCTGTAGAGTATGGACAGTTATGGCTCACGCAGAAAGTGGTAATTATTTGACTCTTCTAGTTAAAAGACTTTCTCTTTTCCTCATACTGTTGCCTCCAATGATCCCTTCAGATTTCTATTTTCCTTCAAAAGTATGCTTTCCTCCTGCCACACTGCCTATTTACAGTTCTCTAAAAAATCCAGACTATTTTTCTAATGAGTTAAGATTTATCTCCCGCTTCCTGGAACATGTATTTTTCCTGCACTCCTTCTTTTGCATTATCATTACATCTACTACAACACTTAAAACATAATTCTAACTATTTCTATGTCTTTCATCCATAAAAATGCAAGCTGTCAATTGCAGGAAACATATTCCATTATGTCTATAGCTCTACATCTACTATAAAGTCTGGATATCATAAATGTTTAATAAATATGTTAATAAATTTTAAAACAGCCATCTAGAAGTTTTCTTCAAGGTATCGCCAAATGGAATGTAAGAGTTTACTGGAATTGAAGAATATTTAGAGATATACACAAATGTCTTATTTTTATTAGAGTTTTAAACTACTCCATTTGTGCCTGGAATCTCAATTTTTTAAAAAAATCTGAGCATCATTTTAAAAATCAAACGAAACAACCTCTCATAAGGAAAAACTTTAGATGTCTTTCTCATCTAACTTCATAATAAAACTCTCCAATATTATTATTTATTTACTATTTTATCTTCACATTTAAAAAATAACATATTTTACTGCTTTTCCTCAATCAATTTTAGGCACAAATATCCAGTGATAATCATGTATATTTCACTGTCATACTTTCTTCTTTCTAATAGCATATTCCTATTTTTGGTTAAATCACCATTCTGCGATTATTTTATTAAGGACTGTAAACACCATTTACTGCTGAGCCATGAAGCTTTCTATGCATTTTAATAAACATTTTGTTCTTCCTTGACTTAATATTTGCGTTATTTTAAATTGCATAATGTCATGCAATAAATATATAAGTAAATAATAAGTAACATTATGATGCTTCATCCAGAAAGCAATCCCTACCTTCCTTCAATTTAGTACCAAAAATGTTGAAATGATTACATTTCAATGTATCTCTGCCACGTTTCAAGTTGTGTTAATGATAGCTTATTCTGCATTGCCATGTGGCTTGAAATTAATATTTATTGCTTGTATCAGATAGAAGGCCTTTTATTGAAATAAACAGAAAGCTATGCAAAACTAATTTAAACAACACTAAGACTTCAAAGCTAGGCCATGGTTAGAGTTGGCTGCTGTGATGGTAGAGTGGTCCACCACGTTAACAAAAGTGGTTGACATTCACTGATACTTTTGTCAAGTTTTACTAATACTTCCCAAACTCCTAGAGGATTCAGACATGAGTTTACAAAGCATTAGATTGTGATATATATCCAAGAGAACAATAATATGCTGTGCTCAAAATTGTCTCCTCCTTCCAGGTAAAAGTGTCCTAGTTTTGACAAATAATTATTAAATAATTTATTAAATAATTATTTGTAATTACAAAATGCATTTTGTATTTTTGCATTTTGCATTTTTATTACAATAAGAACGCAAAATTTTTATTGGAAAACTGAAAAACTTTGTTGAAACAGTCTTCTGATTCATTCCAAAGATTCAACAGAAATACCTAAGCTTATCTTATCCAAGGATATTCGAGGAGTAATAACAATAACAACCTATCAGAAAACAACTATATACACCCTAAGTTGTGAATATCTTTGCAAGGCACTACTGTTTCTCTTCTCATAAATAAAAAACATTATTAATTTAATATTTATTAAAAATAGGATAAAACAAAACCAGCCATTGAACCACCTGGCTAATAATTTCACACATTTGACACTTCCAGTTTATACTTCACATACCTGCCAGAATATTGTACACATGTTGATTATGCAACATCACAACATCATTGCAAAAAAACCTTATTAAAGCACTGGCTTAATAAATCAAGTAATGCCATCTCAAGATCCAATCCATCTATCAAGACCAAGTCTAAATAATTTTTAAAAAGCATTTCTACTTTCTTAGAGATCATTTACAGTTTCTCAGAAAGTCTAGAGAACTGCTTATATGCCATTTATATTACAATGATATATTGCTTTTCATGATATTTACTTGGTTTATTTTTTTTCTTTCATACTTAGTTGTAAATTTCTTGAGGTAGGACACCACATTTTATAAATCTTTGCTATCTTTATAGACTTGAGCACAGTACCTTGTATTTATCAAATACTTAATATTTGTTGAATAAATGCATTTTTATTTGACTCTTCAAAGAGTCTTTCTGCTTGAAAGAAGGCAGGCAGTACATAATAAGCATATACACTTTGGGAAAACTATTGACTTTAAAAAAAATTTTAAAGGTCATGTTCTTTTATACTTGCTACTTTTTATGATTTATCAATGCTTACTGACAACGTAGAGCTAATGTAGTTTTTGAAAAAGTGGATTATAGTGAACTTCACATAGGAGTTAGTTCAAATGTTCCAGGCATCAAACTATGTTAAATAAAAAGTCATTTTCTGAGCTTACTTTAATTTAGTGTGTGATCACTGTACTTTGGGCAACAGGTCTAGAAACTAGTGGTATTAATAATAAGTAACCATTTGTTTTCTTCTTTTTGTTGTCTTTGGAGTAACCACATCCCCAACAATGTACTCTATGTGTTCCAAACTTCCAGAATTATGTAATACAACTATAAAGGCAGATAGAAACATTTTAAGTTTACTCTTAGGCTATATACATTTGTTTTATTTTTATATATTTCATTGTTTACTTAATTAAGCATATGAATTTGTGCTTTGATCTATGACTTTATGTTTTTCTAAATTTAATATCAGAAATGATACACATATTTAAGTTTAGAAGTACACTCTTTCCCTTTTACCTCTGCCATTCCCTTCTCCCTTCTCCTTTCCTCACCCACTCTTGTCCTTTCCCATTTTCAGTACTTCAAAAATATATCACTTCATTAAAATTTATGTAAAATCTATCCAAATAAAGTAAAAGTGATTCACCAAAAATACTGACAACCACAATAGTGATTCAGGGCATTGTAATAAATAACTCAGAGTTAGTTGACAGAGACACTGTTCAGCATGGGCAGACTTTTGAATGTGACAGGCTACTCATCAACATACATGCCTAATTATTTTTCTACATATATATTCTCCCCCCACAACAGTATGTGTGTGTGCACGCCCATGTGCATGTATGTGTAGAACACCTAGATGAGAATTTAAAATGCCATCAATATAACGTTGAAAATATGCGATTTGTCTATATGGTAATTCTAGTCCCTTACCCAATTAAAAAATGTATATTACCTTCTTTTAACTTTTTAAAAATGCAAACAGAGTAGGAGATTCATTAAGAAAAAAATGTTTGCCTTGACAATAAGATACGTTCTTTAAGAACTCAGTAATTATTTTCTTCTTTTATATTTACCTAAATAATACACTGTACATCCAAGGTTATAAAATTGTCTATCCCTGGAATTCTGTCCTGCCTTGACTTCTGGGAATTCAGTAAAAAATGAAAAGACCTCTTTTGGCATTGGCCTTTAAAGAGGGGTGCTAATCCTTTTGCTCTGGCTTCAAAGCACTATGCCATTTAAGATAGTGAGTTTATTCTTTCACATTTTATTGGCAATATTGTCAACGATCTGAATATTTCAATAGTAGGAATTATGTATATACATATGCAGATGGATTAAATATAGAACTGATTGTGCCAAAAATTCTGTTTTCTGAACATAGAGTTTGTATTTGTAATAATCAGTGACTATATTTACATCACTAGTTCCTTATATTTTGAAATAAAATTGGCAACACTTTGTGATAAACAGTGTATCAGTTCATTTTCATGCTGCTGATAAAGACATATCTGAGACTGGGGAGAAAAAGAGGTTTAATGGAATTACAGTTCCACTTGGCTGGCGAGGCCTCACAATCATGGCAAAGGCAAGGAGGAGCAAGTCACGTCTTACATGGATGGTGGCAGGCAAAGACAGAGTATTGCAGGGAAACTCCTGTTTTTAAAACCATCAGACCTCGTGAGACATACTCACTGTCATGAGAAAAGCATGGGAAAAACTAACTCCTATGATTGAATTACCTCCCACAGCGTTCCTCCCACAACATGTGTGAATCGTGGGAGTTAAATTCAAGATGAGATTTAGGTGGGGACACAGCAAACCCATATCAAATATGATGGCTGGTGTGACTAAAAGATATGATTTGACAGAGAACTCTTCTAAATTATACAACTTGATAAACTGAGCTTGTCTCTTTTAATAGGACATAAATATTAATAATATTTTCATTATACAAGATGCTATATTTCATATATTTCCTGCTTGCAGGTGACACCTGCATGGAATAAGCTTTAATAACTATTTATAAATTTCTAATGTCACTGCATATACTAAATGTTGCAGAAAATTTCACGAAAAATGATTGGAAAACCTCAAATTGAAAAAAAATGTGTTAGTGAAATTGAAGGAAGGCATTTTTCAAAAGCAAAGATTCTTCTTATGATACTAGAAACTCCTTTCAGTTAAAAAATTTTGAATATTATGCTATCATTAATATATTGTCTAAACAACTTAAAAGCATAAAGTCTTTGGTTAAAAGGAAATAAAATATTTTTCTTATCACCATCATCATAACTTGCATTTATATTGTATTTACTGTGTACCTGGAACTGTTTTAAGTGCTTTACATGAACTTTTTATATTTCATTTTATAACATTCCTATTACTATCTTAATTCACTTGATAACACTAAAGCTTAAGGAGGTTAAGTAGCCCAATTTCACAGAGCTAATAATAGGAGAGGCTGAGACTCCAACTAGAATCTCCTGGATTCCTTGATAAAGTTTCAGGTTTTATCTACTGTGTTATACGCATGTTTTTACCCCTGCAACAAACACAGTATTACACTCAGAATAGTTACTGAGGAAACTGTTTAATATTTGAACTGAACAAAATGGTGACAATAAAAACTAGTTGCTTAATATAAGAAACAATGAGTAATGCGGCACTAAGGTAGAGGTATGTTTTTGTGGCTGTTTTTCAGCAAGAAAGTCACAAATATTCTACAATCTCAGATTAATTTGGTAACAAAAATTTTTTAAATAACTTCTTCCACTTAAGGGTTAATAATCTGAGGTTAAGTTTATTAGATATTCATACTTACGTGTAATAATTAGATTGCTTAATTCTTATGATAAACTTGGATTCTTTTGGAATGAGAGGGTGAGTTTTTGGTAGGGGTAGGGGGAGGTGTGTTAATTGCACAGCTTGGTTCAAGTGGGATGCCACTGTGAGAAACTTTAATCAAGCGAATGTAATATTCATATACTCCCCTCTATCATCCCTTCTACAAATGTTTAAATATTCATATGGCAACGCTCTATATCATGAAGTTCCTTCAGTTTAAAGACTCACTAATTATTTTGGTTTGATGATAGGTATATTTCTGTTTTTATAGGTAAAAATATTAAAAGGAATCCTACTTTAAATATTGTAGTAAACTATATAACTTTAAAAATATTGACAATGTTTTCAATTCTTTATTATAAAATTGCAAAGATTAAATATCATGTGGTCTAAAACCTTCATTTTTCATAAAAGGAACATATGAAAGTAGATTATCCAATCCATTATGAACAAGACTAATTAAATTTTGTGTTTGGTTAGCACTTTTCAGCTTGGAAAAAGGTTTAATAATTTTTAGAACTACAGTCCTAGCTCTCTCCCATTTACAAATTTCTTCCAAACAGTATACTTAATGAGTCATTAATTCATTAGAATATAACTTTTGCCTAATTTTTGTACCATTGAAGTCATTAAGTACACTAGTTACCTCTCTGTTGCAATATCTAATAGGCACATTTATCTTCATTGTTCTTAACCTCTCAACAGTATTTGTCCCTGATTGTTTACTCACTTACATAAAATGCTGCCCTTTCTCTTCCTTAATATCTGCTTTCCTCTTTGTCACTGTTGCCACCTTCTTTTATTGTTTTTCAAGTAGTATAAAAGCTTATTTTTACTCTATGCTCTTTCCTCCTAAGAACTCATATTGCTGTAAGTTTAATTATTCTTAATACATAACTAATTTCCAAATGTTTTTCTCCAAATCATACTTGTACTGGGAGTTCCAGATGTCTGTATCCAACCACATAGTTCCTATCTCAATATTCAAATATATGTATACAGGCCGAGCACGGTGGCTCACGCCTGTAATCCCAGCACTTTGGGAGGCTGAGGTGGGCAGATCATCTGGGGCCAGGAGTTTGAGACCAGCCTGGCCAATGTGGCGAAACCCTATCTCTACTAAAAATACGAAAATTAGCCAGGCATGGTGGTGTGCGCCTGTAATCCCAGCTACTCGGGAGGCTGAGGCAAGAGAATTGCTTAAACCTGGGAGGCGGAGATTGCAGTGAGCAGAGATCACACCATTGCACTCCAGCCTGGGGGACAGAGCGAGATTCAGTCTAAATATATAAATATATATACACATATATATGTGTGTATATATATACATATACACACACACATATACATATTCAATCATGAGTCACTTAATGGGGATATGTTTTGAGACGTGTCAACAGACAGTTTCATCCATGTGCAAACATAGAGTGTACTTCCACAAACCTAGGTGATATGTCCTTCTACACATCTAGCCTATGTGGTATAGCCTATGGCTCCTAGACTAGAAACCTGTGCAGCTTGTTACTGTACTGAATACTGCAGGCAATCGTAACACAATGATTGGTATTTTGTATCTAAATATATCTAAACACAGAAAATGTACAGTAAAAGTACGGAAGTACAGTATTATAATCTTATGGAATGACTATCATATATGTAGTTTGTTGTTGACTGAAATTTTGTTATGTGGTGTCTGAAATATGTGTGTATGTGTGTGTGTATACACACATGCAGAGAGGGAGAGACAGAGACAGGGATAAAAAGAGAGTCAAAGAGCAAGACAGAGACACAGAGACCGAGAGAGCTTTTGCTGAGCTGGACCTCATAAATATTTCTGTGTTGTGTTTGTATTCATTTCAAATTATTTCCTATTTTTCCTTGTAATTTTCTGACTCATAGCTTATTTAGGAGTCTATTATATAATTTCTGCATATTTGTGAATTTCCTGAATTTTTTTTCTGTTACTTATTTCTAATTGCATTCATTGTAATCAGAGAATGTACTGAGTGTGATTTGGGTCTTTCTAAATTTATTGAGACTTGTGTTAAAGGAAAAGATATGATCTATCCTGTTTAATGTTCCATGGGAAACTTACAAATAATACATATTCTGCTGTTGCATAGTGTTTTATAGATGTCTCTTATGTCTTGTTCGTTTATAGTGCTTTTCATTCTATTTTCTTTTTATCTTCTAGTTTTCCTATCTATTATTGGATTTGAGGCAATAAGTCTCCAACAATTATTGTTGAATTGCTTAACTCTCCCTTTATTTTTGTTAGTTATTTCTTCATATATTTGGGGGCTGTATTGTTAATAATATATATTACATTTCTGATTGATATAAAATATTATTTTTGTCTCTAGTAACAATTTTTGTCTTAAAGTCTATTTTGTCTCAGAATAGGCAGCTCAGCTCATCTTTTGTTACTGTTTTCATGGTATATCTTTTTTTCATCCTTTTAATCTTTTAAAAAATAGTATCTTTGAACCTGAAGTGTTTCTTGTCTTAGAAAGCATACAGTGGGATCATTTTTTAAAAATCTATTCCTCCAGTCTCTTCCTTTTGATTGGAGTGTTTATTCCTTGTACATTTAATTGTTTAATGTAATTACTAGTAAGATAGGGTTTCAGTCTGCCATTTTTCTGTTTGTTTTCCTTGTCTTACGTGTTTTTGTTTGATAAATAGTTGTCTTCTAATATACCATTTTAATTTTCTTAATTTTTTTACTATAGTTTATGAGCTTTTTTTAAATGGTTAACCCAGATATTACAATCAGCTTCTTAATTTATAACAATATAATTTGGTTTATACCACCTTAATTTCAATCATTCACAAACTCTATGTGTCTGTATAGTTCCGTCCATCCTACTCATTTTTGGTTTTATTGTCATACAAACATTACAGTGTACATTTTATGCCCATTAATACAGATTTATAGTTATTTCATTAGATATTTGTCTTTTAAATCAAGCAGGTAAAAAAGTATTAAAATAAAATCTACATTTATACTTTTTATATTTAACTATATAGTTACCTTTACTGCTGCGTCTTATGGGTGTATGCTGATTTGAGTTACCGTGTAATGTCCTTTCTTTTCAGCTTAAAAGACTTCCTGTATGTCGATTTTAGACCACGGTCACTAGCTATTATTTATATTTTTTGGTTATTCAGGATGTCTGAATTTTTTCTTCATTTTTTTGGAGGATAATTTTACTAAACATAGAATTTTTTGTTGGCAATATTTTTCTTTCAGCACTTGAGTATGTTATCCCACTCTTTTATTTCTGACAAGAAAGCAGCTGTTAATCTTAAAAATGTAGTGGGTTCCTTCTACATGTTGTGTTATTTTTTTCTGATGTTTTTAATATTCTTTGTCTTTTGTTTTCAACTGTTTATTATTGAGTGAGGTTAATACTGCTTTATTAAGAAAATAATTCCTACCTTTTAAGTCTAGTTCAGGTCTTCCAAATATATTTTGGAAGAATTGGGAATGAGAACCTAATCTGGATTGTAAATACAAATCTAATTACAAATAATATTTTGTAATTACTTGTGAGATTAGGAAGCTAATATCTGTATCCTCTATGGTTATGAGATAGATGAAGATGTTGCCTTTTTAATATATTATCAATGCATGTACAATGTCAGTCACCTAACAGGACTATAGTAAATATTTTTAATGGATAAGTTAATGTGTTAAATGAATGAATTTAAGTGTCATTTAAAAGTTATTAATATGCTGTTTGAATGACTGTGAGACACCAGAAGATAAAATAACTTAAAATCAATTTAACAAAATGTACAGAATTAAAATTTCAAGGCAATAGTTATAACAAGCTAGATCTTGTAGCAGTAACTAACATCTGGAGACCTGTAGTAGAAATACAAGAATTAAGTCTTTTCACACTCATGCTAAATATTCAGCAATGTTCGGCTATTGATCTGATTCTTATCACCTTCACTTAAGAACTTAGCCTGATAGCGATGCTTTTGTCTTCGAAACTGCTACATGTATGAAGGCAAGAAAGAAACACTGGTAACAACAACTGGCTCTTAAAGTTACTCTTAGAAATGCCATTATATCACTTTCACTCACATTTAATTGGCAAATATAAGTTGCATGGGCAATCCTAACTCAAGTGGACAGACATGTATAATAACCCTCTAATAAGGTGGGGTAGACAAGTCATAGGGCCAAGCTGGTCCCTCATAGAGAAGGAAAAACAATCTTCTGGAAGGCAGGGTAAATATTAAACAATAAATAAATAAATAATTTACCACAATGATATTGATCTCCAGTCTAATGTTGATTCTACTAAACCACACCAGACTTGATCTTGCAATTTTGTTAACTAGGTAGAGAAAATTAAACTTCACTGAATTATTTTATGAGTTAACATGTTAAAAATTGGTTTATATAGTTAGGCACGGTGGCTCATGCCCTTAATCCTAGCACTTTGGGAGGCCTAGGTGGGAGGATGACTTGAGCCCAGGAGTTCGAGACCAGCCTGAGCAACATGATGAAACCCCCTCTCTATAAAAAATACAAAAATAAGCCAGGCATGGTGGTGTGTGCCTGTAATCCCAGCTACTTGTGAGGCTGAGGTAGAAAGATCACTTGAGCCCTGGAGGTCGAGGCTGCAGTAAGCTGTGTTCATGCTACTGCCCTCCAACCTGGGAGGCAGAGTGAGATCCTCTCTCAAATAAAATAAAATCAATAAAAAATTGGTCTATTTAATGCATATTCCATTACTAGTAATATCTGACAACTAAGCTTTGATGTGCATATATATACAGTGGCTCTAGTACACATGAAAACAATTTACTGCAGAGATTTGTTCACAGTTCATTAAATAGCTATACAAAACTGGTTTTATACTTTCCAAAGCATGTTTATGATTTGTAGAAATGACATCTTAGACATAAAAGTAAAATAAAACATTACTTTGACTTCTGACATATCTGGAATGGCAATGCATCAATCACCCACAGCCTAAAGAACAAGATGATGTTTAGTGCTGAGAAAGTCTGTCTAAAAATATTGCCTGAGAGGCATATCCTGGTCTTCTTTTTTTTTCTCAAAAATTAGTTGTCCAGAGAGACCTTCATCAACAACACAACACATGAACTATATTCTTTAGAATGTATGTTCTTCAAAATCACACAGAAAAACAAGAAAAACAGAACACACACTCTGGACAATAACTTAGGATGTTTCATCTACAAATGACTTTTTTTGTACATGCATTTTCTAAAGCTTCTTTTTTTTCATATTCTTGAAGGAATAGACAGCAGATCAGTCAAAAATTTATTGTGGGTCTTGTATTGTGCTAAGTAATTTGAAGGATACAATTAAAATATATAAAATGGATACTACCCTGAGACGGCCAGCCAGTAAGATGGTGATTTAAGGGAAAATTAAACAATTAAGAATTAATCAATTCTTTTTTTTCTTTTTTTTTTTTTTTTGAGACAGAGTCTCGCTCTATCGCCCAGGCTGGAGTGCAGTGGCACAATCTCAGCTTACTGCAAGCTCCTCCTCCTGGGTTCACACCATTCTCCTGCCTCAGCCTCCTGAGTAGCTGGGACTACAGGCGCCCACCACCATACCCGGCTAATTTTTTTTGTATTTTTTCGTAGAGATGGGGTTTCACCGTGTTAGCCAGAATGATCTCCATCTCCTGACCTCGTGATCTGCCAGCCTCGGCCTCCCAAAGTGCTGGGATTACAGGTGTGAGCCACCACGCCCGGCCAAGAATTAATAAATTCTTAATCCCAACACTTTGGGAGGCTTAATCCCAGTATTTTGGGAGGCCAAGGCGTGTGGCTAATTTGAAGTCAGGAGTTCGAGACCAGCCTGGCCAACATGGTGAAACCTCATCTCTACTAAATTACAAAAATACAGAAAAAAATAATAATAATACAGAAATTAACCCCATCTCTACTAAAAATACAAACAAAAAAATAGTGGTAGCAGTCACCTGTCATCCCAGCTACTACGGAGGCTGAGGTAGGAGAATCACTTGAACCTGGGAGGCAGAGGTTGCAGTGGGCCGAGATTACACCACTGCACTCCAGCTTGCACAACAAAGCAAGACCGTATCTCAGGAAAAAAAAAAAAGGAATTAATAAATTCTAAAAAGAATAGTGCAAAATTTTGGACAGAGATATGAAGCCAGCCGGATATCTACTTGTGGTGCTGACGCAGGAGGACTGCTTGAGCCCAGGAGGTCAGGACTTCAGTGAGCTATGATCACGCTACTGCACACCAGCCTGGGTGAAAAAGTGAGACCCTGTCTAAAAAAAAGAGATATCCAAGCCTAATTATATAAAACAATAAGATACACTACACACACACACGCACATATATGATATATACATGATACCAACATCAAAGGCACAAAGTAATAATCTGTAATACCATAGTTTTTGACACTATCAAAAGTTTCTGTTTTATTCTCAGAACAATTTTAAATTTGGATTCTTGAAAAATACCAAAATAGTGAATGTAAAGTGATCTCCCCACAAAACTATGAGGAGTTGCACATTACATTACGATGCATACAATTTCTTCTGGAAACTTTAATAAACTAATTAATTTAAAAGAATTCTAGAGATTAAGAGAGCAAGTATTTAACTTCCAACTTGAGACAGGACACCAATGGAAGAGAATAACAGAATGAATATAATACCAGAAAACAAATTGTATGGTAGATATACCAAAAGCAGTGTTTAGAGGAAACTCACTATATCAGAAGCAAACTGAAAAGTAATGAGCTAAATAGTAAGTTCAAGAAGTTATAAACAAGCAACAGAATAAGCTATGAAAAGAAGAAAGTGAAAAATAAAGATCAGAGAAAAACATAATGAAATAAAAAGGTGAAGACTGAAAATAACAAAGGTGGATATTTAGAAGATATAGAGAAACTGGCTAACTTTAGGCAGACTGATAAGAAAATGGAAATATAGATGAAAAATATTAGTCTCTTGTATTGCTAAACATTTAGTCTCTTTATCATTGCTATATATTTTAGTAATGTAAAACGTAGTGAGAGGATATTGTTTGTAATATAGCATGAAAATAGCAAAAATAATCCAAGGAGAGAAAACCTTAGGCCAACATCATTATGAACATCAATGCAAAGAAACACACAGGATATTAACCAATAGAATTCAGAGGTACATTAAATGTATAATATGCCATAATCAAGTGTTTCACTACAAATTAAGGATGTGTTTTCTGTAGGACACAAATGTTGATTAAAAATATAAAACCACAGGATCAAGTTGATGACAAATAAGAGAGAAATTGACTAATTCCACATTTATATTTAATTTTTAAAATGTTAAATAGATAACATAGATACATATTTAACATGACATGTGTGTGGGGATGTATATCCATTAATTTGACTATGAGTAATTAATGACCATATTCTACGTAAATATACTTACACTTAAACACACAAGATGCTTTCCTATTGAAGTCATGAACTAGACAAGTCAATCTTGCCCTCTATAACAAATATTATTCTATTTATTTTAGCAGTGCTAACCATATTGATTTAGACATACTTAAAATACTAGTTTTAAATATAGGCTACAAAGAAGAAACGTGGAAGATTATTTAATTGCATATCAGAAAAACACATGAGAATTATCTTAAAAACTCATTAAAAATTAAAGAATTTACTATAATAAAATGTTACAAAACTAAAACATTTTCTTTTTTATGAATAGAAAGGTGCTTAAAATATATGACAGAAAACAAACCTCTTTAGAGTAGTAAGCATAGCATTTATATCTATATCTGCATCTATGTCAATATTTACAGGGAAATGGGAGAAAGGAAGAAAACATAAGAGCATAGAAAAATAACAATACCTACTGAGAAACAAATAAATGATTAAAATAAATGGAAAATGTAATGTATTTCTAGATTTATAAAGCTCAAATTGTAAAGATATAAAATTTTCTTAAGTCAATCTATAAATTCAACTGAAATCCAATTAAAATAACAGCAGGACAGGGTTACTGAGAAAATAAATATGGTAGACTAATCAGGAAAATTATAAAAAAGAGTAATGATGCAAAATATAGTCTTAACACATTAAAAGATTGGAAGCTATAATAATTAACATAATTTGTTACTATCATCAAGATACATAAATCAAAGGAACAGACAGAGTTAAAAAAAAAAAAAACGCCAAAAACACATATACTATATAGCATGTCATAATGATGGCATTTTAAGTTGGTAAGGACATGAGAGTGAACCACACTTGGAACAGGTTTTCTGTCTGTATGCGTATATAAGATGTGTGTAATGCTTATTACAAAAATAATTTTTCATAGATTAATTTTTAGGGTTGAAAATGAGAAAATAAATGTTATGAGAGTTGGCTGTTTGCTAGCCCACTTTTTATTAGGAAACATTTTTTCAAGGGAAGGAGAGATTTCCTTCTATTCAGTTCTTAATTAATACTTGGCATAATTTTAGACTAAGACAATTATTAAAACACACAAAGACAGAAATCAGTCATAGGCTATTTCAACAAAGAGCTTTTATTTTTATTCACAAAAATGTTCTATGCATTGGACATTACTCAATTAGTTTCCTAATCCTGTGAAAGTGAGTCACTTTTCTTCTTTGTATAAAGTACAAATTCTCCTCGACTTATATAATGAGATTACATCTGACTAAACCCATCATAAATTGAAAATGCACTTTAATACTCTATCCCAAGGCCAGGCGCAGTGGCTCCCTCCTGTAATCCCAGCAATTTGGGAGGCCAAGGAGGGTGGATCACCTGGAAGTCAGGAGTTCAAGACCAGCCTGGTCAACATAGTGAAACCCCATCTCTACTAAAAATACAAAAATTAGCTGGGCATGCTGGCTTACACCTATAATCCCAGCTGCTTGGGAGGCTAAGGCAGGAGAATCGCATGAACCGGGGAGGTGGAGGTTGCGGTGAGCCATGATCACGCCACTGCACTCCAGTCTGGGCAACAAATCAAAATTCTGTCTCAAAAAAAAAACAACAACAACAAAAAACTCTACCCTACTCAACATCATACCTTAGACTAGCCTACCTTAAACATACTCAGAACACTAACATTAGCCTACAGTTGGGAAAAGTCATCTAACACAAAGCCTATTTTATAATAAATTGCTAAATATCTCTAATAATTTAATGAATACTGTGCTGAAAGTGAAAAACAGAATGTTTGTATGGGTACTTAAAGTACAGTTTCTACTGAATGCATGTTACTGTCACAAAATCATAAAGTGGAAAAATTGTAAATCAAACTATGGTAAGTCAGGAACTATTTGTACCTGAATAATTGCTCACTCCCATTTCCCCAGTTTGAGAAGGCTGTCTCCTTTTTATTGATCTGATTAGGAATCAATAATGTCATTCAATTTCATTATTTGTCTTTTAAGTATAGGTCCTAGAGGCAGTTTTTTCTAATCTTTAATAGTTTAAGCTTGCATAATATCCCTGAATAAATAAAAACAATAATTTTGTTAAGTATTATATGCATTTTGTTGCATCATACATATACCTCTTAGGATTTAAAGTTCAGAGTTTAGAGCACCAAGGAGTAAAAAAAAGTTAGTTATTAACCTCATTTCCTTTTTTGTTTGTTTGTTTTCCCTAAATAATGAAGAATCATAATCTGGAAAGTAAATCCAAGTCTCAGAAAAGGACTCTGCAATATTATCTTGGCTTACTTTGTTTGAGGAATTTTTCTAAACAATACATGTAACACACTCCAAAAGTCAAAAAAAAAATATAGGTATATCTGACAATATACAAAAATGTAGAATACTACCAAAAATAATCAATCAAGATATTTAAAAATTGAGAAAAATATTACAGTGAGATTCTTATTTATTAGTCTAATACAGAGCTCATAAAAATCAGAAATCCAACACAAACAAACTCAGTTGGAAAATGAAAAAAGGACGAAAATAGCTAAATGATAAAGATAAAAGTTAAGAATCGCAAGAGAGTTTAGATATTTAATTTTAAGAATGGAAATAAATTAACAATTTTTTACCTATGTTATTAAAAACTATTAATTTGACAAACCAAGAGCAGTTAAGTGTATCTGTCTTTTAAACTGCTAATAGGTCTGTAAATTGTGAACATTTCTAGAGGTAAATTTGTAATGTTTAGAAAAACTTAAATGCTGGCACCTTTTTAACCATCGCAGCTAGAGATGAAAATACGCCCTGTGACTATCTGCTATACGTACTGTGATTACTGATATACTCATAAAATTCCCTGTACATACACATACACCCTCCATCCCCCAACACACATACTCAAGTTAATTATGATGTATTATCATTTATAATGGCCAAAAACTGAAATCAACCAACGTGACTGTCAACAAAAAACTGATAAAGTAAATCCTGGTACATTCATATGATGAAAAGTTATTATAAAGGATGACTTTGTCCTGGAAAGAATGCCAAGATATTTTGAAAGACATAATTAGAACTCAAGATACAAATACAATGTATACATTATCATCCATTATGTGTAAATCAAATTGATGGACAGTTAAGTTGCTGTACAGATATTAGATTGATGGCGCTATAAGTAAATAGATGAAAATAGATTAAACGTGTCTTCTTTGTGGAAGGCACTACAATCATTTTAAAAACTAAATCACATTTGAAGTGTATTGCTAGGATAGGACAGGGATGTAAAGCAGAGAAATAAGGCTTTCATGTGTCATTTTGTGTTTTTTTGATATAAAAAATGTGCAGAATTAGTCATATGAACTGCTTATTGAACATTTTATTAAATATAACAGAGAAAAGTGTATAGCATAACAAAACCACAGAACATGAGTATACATATTTGACCAGCATACAGATTAAATAATAGACTTCAACATTGTTGCCGGACTTTTTCTTAGGTCAGTTAAAGATGGGATCCTTGTCCCATGCCATGAAAGTTTAGGCTTGCAGATGGTTTAAAGGGTGAGTAAAGCAGGGTTTTATTTGGTGAGAAGGAAAAAAGGGAAAACAGGTACTCTCTGCAAGGCCGGAATTCCCTGCTAGAGTGCTTCCAGCCTCGCCCTTTGAATCCCAGGTTCCACACAGGAAGAGGAGGGGACAGGCTCCACCCTGCTGCAAATGGCGCAAACTTCCCAAGGCTCCACCTGAGTGTGCAGGCTGGCTGGATTCTGCCAGGGACTCCCTCCCACCTGGCTGTCTCATTCCCCACTCTAAAGAAGTACATCTAATTGCCATTAGAATAAGGATAAGAACAAAGACCGATCTTAACTGCTTCTTGCTGACAGGGGGCACTGTTTTAGGAGGCACTGTTTTGGGAAAATGGCAGTCAGAGCTCCCTCAGAGGCCTATTTAAGGGTCCCCAGCAGAAGGGGCCATTGTCAGAGGCTCCGGTTGCATGACCATTTGGAGGCTGATGAGCAGAAGGCAAGAACAGACAAACCAGGTTATTAGAAAACATGTATCAAAACCAAACAATGCGAGAGGCAAGGACAGGTCAAAAATGTTGAGGCCTTTTACCAGTTTGCACAGGGAGATGGAGGCCAAAAGCCTGACTGGTAAAAAACTTTACCCTTGGCTGGGGGTGGTGGCTCATGCCTGTAATCCCAACACTTTGGTAGGCCAAGGTGGGTGGATCACCTGAGGTCAGGAGTTCAACACCAGCCTGGCCAACATGGCAAAACCCTGTCTCTACTAAAAATACAAAAAATTAGCCAGGCGTGGTGTCTCAGGTCTGTAATCTTAGCTACTCAGGAGGCTGAGGCAGGAGAATAGCTTGAACCTGGGAGGCGGAGATTGCAGTGAGCCGAGATCACGCCACTGCACCCCAGCCTGGGCAACAAGAGCAAAACTTTGTCTCAAAATACAAAAACAAAAAAAAAAACCTTACTCTTGCTGGCATGTTGGGCTTCTGGTTGCCTTCCCCTGAGCCCAGTCATAAGCCAACCAGTTTAAGGTTTGGAAAATTAACTCTTCCCAGTTTGGAGAATGCATCTGAGGAGAGTGTCCCATAGTATAGAGACACAATTACCTATCTGTGAAGAGAGAAATGAGGAGGAGAAAGGAGAAAAAGGTATGTTTTTTGAAAGGAGTCCCAGGGGTTCAGGATGCATTTGAAAGGGGTACAGACTAAAGATGAATGGCTACCCATCTAGACCGAGGGGAGCAGGCATCACTGGTTCCCTTCTCTTCTTAGCAGATACCTGGGGTACATGAGGGAGAAAGGGAAGAACATCCTCTTTTCCTTCTTCCGTATTTGCATCCCTGGGTCCCAGTGACCTTAGTAGGTGCTGACATGAGTGCCAAAGCAGCTTGCGACCATGAAGCAAAGGGATGTAGGGGGTTGGAATCACCCACTCTTACCCATGTATGCCCTATCTCCCCTGCTGTCAGTAGCTTGGGATTCCCTAGACCTCATTTATGCCATGGATACTAACATGGCCTTTATCCATGAAACAGGAAGCTTGGAGTTGGCTTGATAGGCAGGAACATCCATGATCACCTGCACCGTGCCTTTTAACTTCTGTTATCATTTGCCTCTGGATCCCTTAGATCCAGTTTTCTTCCTAGGGCTTTGACCTGAAGTTTGGAATTGAGTTTGGGACAAAAATATGTCTCAGGGGGCGCTGCATGGACTCCTTATCATAAGCTGAATGCTAAGGTGAAACTGGAACTGAGTCCTCCTCCAACAAAGGAGCAAAAGAGACATCTTGTGACACACCTAGATAACTGGCGGCTATAGTTATGCTTGCTATGATATGGGTGTATGGTACTTGGCTTTGGTTAGTTCGCTTGGTCTTACTTTCCCAAAAGGAAACCTCCAAGTGGTGGGCATCCTATTTATTGCCATCAACTGGGAGGATTTGCAGAATAATTGCTCAAGACTAGAATACTGATCCAGATTTCCACATTACCCATCCCTTTTGTTATTTCTGAGCTGCAGCCAGAGATTGCTGGTTGGTTCACAGGAACAAGCAGGGTTAGTCTAAATGTAGGCAAAAACTTAAAAATAACTGATGAGTTTAGGATTCAATGACAAATGTATAAGTTTTAAAACATAATTTCTCTCCTTCCAGTCCTCATTTTAAAACAAATTATAGTAGGACTGAGTTATTTGCAAAATATAATTTAGTTTTATACTTGCCTGATTATTTGCATAAAGTGCAGCAAGAATAACTATTTCTACACAGGGCTTTTGGATTGGCTTTGATGGAAGTCTGTACCACAAGGAATCTCAGATAAGACCTTTAAAGCTGAGCTTTAAAGGGTCTGTCTCCTCAAATACCTGTGAGTTGGGTGATCCTTTCCTCTTAAGGTCCTAAGGAAAATTTGGAGCTGCTGGACATGTTAGAAATTTGGAGTTTCTGGATCTGTTAGAAAGTGACATTCTTTACTGACCACAGGTCAGGAGCCCTATACAGGGACTGTGTAGACGACAGTATAAGGCCAATATCCCATGGAGCTTTTACCAGCTCTACAAGTCCAGATTGATTCCTTAAAGGGAAGCATACCCTTCCACCCTTGGTAAAATGACCACTTTCTCCAATTGTGTCCTGTTGCAAAAGAAAAATGGATTCTTATTGCACTGATGCAAACAACTATATGGCCATAAGTTAAGAATACTCACAGATAGTTTCCAAATTCTAGAGGATTCAGGCAGAGAGAAGAAAACATGCTCCAAATTTTGTTCATAGGAGTATACCTTGCTCAGTTATTAAAGGCTGTAAATAGTTCAAACTAAGTTTCCTTGACTCTGAAAAACAAAACAGGGATCAGCATTATTCCAAGCAAAAAATCAAAAAGGTTCCTTCAGCTTTCTTAGTCCATTTAGTTAACTTTTGTTTTGCTTGATATTTGTGAACATTCAGTTCTTTATGAGTCCTGTATGTTTTGCTTTATTCTAATGTTATAATCTCCAAAGTTATCAGAAGCCTGTATTTGAGAACACCTGTTACAGTTCTATAGCTTATTATAAACCATCTTTTGAAAAGGATTAAAACAAGAAAAACAATTGTCTATGAATAGCAAAATGTCCAGGGTAGTTACAGTTAGAAACATGATTGATAAAGAAGTTTGGTTAGCTCCATGATTTACAATAACTTAACATAACAACCTCAATTATTATTGATAGCATATACTTAGACATTAGAATTTTAGAAATTCCATACAATTTTGGAATATGTATTAACATTATTCCTAAAAATAGAACCTAAAGAAGATTGAACATCATTTATTTCCGGTAGTTTCAATTACATGTCATAATAATAACTCCTAGCGATTTTTAACTTTAAGGTGAAACCTGGTAAGTTGCTTTAATTGTGTGCTAAGTGTAGCCAAGGTTTGACATTTTTCAGCATAATTAAGGGTGTGGACAGTTCCATATATCCCCAGGCCTTGACAACTGTGAAGCCGGCAAGTCAAATAGTTCTCAAGACGCAGAAAGCAGTTTATAACCTTAAAACATTTAGCAAATCTTGCAACTGCCTGTATAATTTAGTCACCTATTTACATTGTAATGATACCTGCATTTTACCAATAGTCTTTAAGGCTCTTTTTATTTCTCAAAGATTAAAGTCACATGAACTGAAAGGTACCACAGCTTTTATCTTCCCTTCAAAAAATATTCGATCCAAGCGCTTGTCTTTCTTTAAGCCAAATTAATTAGAGCTGTTTTTACAGACATTACACAGACACAGACAGGCAGGAAAAAACCCAGTTCCCAGGTGGGGTTCTATAAGAGACAGGGCTAGGAAAACATGTAGATATCAAACCAGAAAGGAACTTATTCCCTAAAGCAGGATTGCTAAACAAAGCCTTGCCACCACAGTTACAAGCCATGCCTCCAGGATGGAAAGCAAGATGGAGGCTTGCTTTCACAACCAAAGCTTTGCAGAGAATATAAACAGAGATAGTTGGGGGGCCTGGCTTAGAAAAATGTCTTCTAAAAAAAAAAGAACTTTAAAAGTTAACTGCTGATGGGGTAGAGAAGGGGATGAAAAAACAGTTTAAAAATGCCTGGGGAAGATTATTCTTATGCAACTGTTCCTCCATCTGGGAGAAAAGTTTAAGCTTAATTATTGTCCAATAGAGTTAAAATCCTTGGCCAGGGAAGCAGAAGGCTGCGGAGGTATGTGGCTGGGAACCAGCCAGCCGCCTGTGTGTGGGACACTTGGGCCATGCGTCCAGGTCCTGGCACAGAGGTGAGGGCGGCAGGCGGCGGGAAGCTGCTGCTTTCTGGTCTGTCCTGAAACAAGAAACGAAAAAGGCCATGAAAAGGCCTGATTCCCAGAAGCGACAAGGGGTAGGGGTGCGGTTTCCCATAAGCTCATTAGTTTGAGGATGAAGAAGCTCAGAAACCAGAGGGAAAAAAAGATGTCTTGGTTTGCATTTCACTCACCGCTTCTCGAACCCCCACGTTGCGCGCCAAAATGGTGCAGGACTTTTCCTTAGTTCAGATAAAGATGGGGTCCTTGTTCCATGGCCTAGAAAGTCTGGGTTCACAGATGGTTTGAGGGGTGAGAAAAGCAAGGTTTTATTGGGTGAAAAAGAAAAAAGGGAAAACAGGGACTCTCCGCAAGCCCAGAGGCCCCTGCTAGATTGCTTCCCACCTTCCCAGTTCAAATCCCAGTTTCCACACAGGAAGAGGAGGGGCTGAGCCCACGGCAAACCGCGAGAACTTCCCAAGGCTCCACCCCAGTGCGCAGGCCAGCTGGAGTTTTGCCGGGAACCCCCTCCCACCTGGCAGCCTCATCATTAGTCCAGAAGTCCCCTTCATGTTCTCCACAAGCCTATTTTTCATTTTAACAAGAAGATACACAATCGATATTATTTAATGCTTGGCTACAGTTCTAAAACCATTGTTATTATGTGTGAAAGGAGTGCAGATTTGGTTTTAGGTAATTTAACATTGAACATTTTTTATGAACTATCTTAAAAGTGATAAAAATTTTAATATTTCAAAACAGACAAATTTTTACCAACATTGCTCCCAAAACAAAACAAAAAAAAGAGTTAACTTTTTTTTCTGTAGGAATATAATTTACTTTTCTTACAAGAAAATTATAGAAACTTAGCATTTCTGTAGTATCCTTCAGCTTCATTTATAGTCACCAAGCTATAATTTAATTGAATTTGATTAACACAGCTAGATTCTTTAGAGTTGATAGTATTTGTACTTAGAAATGTGAGATATTGATTCTTCAACTTTACAATCCACATTCATCCTATACCTTAAGATTTTTAAAATATGATATTTTAAAAAATAGTCAAAATTTTTAGAACAGTTTATGGTTCATCGCAAAATTGAATGGAAAGTAGAGAGCTTTTCCATATCCCTTCCCCATCATATGTCATCAGGGAAATGCAAATTAAAACGAAAGTTAGATACCACTATGTACCTATTGGAATAATCAGTATCCAGAACATAGACAACTTCAAATTCTGAGAAGGATGTGGATCTAGAGAAACTGCTATTCATTGTTGGTGAGAAGGCTAAATGTCATAGCCACTTTCAAAGACAATTTGGTAGTGTCTTATAAAATTTAACATAAAGTTAACAAGCGTAGCTTTCATCATTGTCAATATCCCCTACCAGTACAGTTGATTAATCTACACTGATACACCATTATCATCCAAATTCCATAGCTTACATTAAGGTTCACTTCTGATGTTCTGCATCTTGTGGATTTGGAAAATGTATAACAACATGTACTTACCATTTTAGTATCATAATGAATAAATTTACCCCTTAAGAATTCCTCCAGCTATTCAACCCTCCCTGCACCCTAACCCCTGACAATGATTGGTGTTTTTACTGTCTCCATAGTTTTGCCTTTTCCCAGAACGTCATATAGTTTGAATTATACAGTATGTAGCATTATTATACTGGCTTCCTTTACTTAAAAGTATGTAGTTAAGTTTCTGCCATGTCTTTTCAGGGCATTTTGGTTGCTTCCAAGTTTGGCAATTATAAATAAAGCTACTAAAAGCATTCGTCTGAAGGTTTTTGTGTGAACTTAAAATTGCTACTAATTTGTTACTACCAAGAAGCTGGATTGTATACTAAATTTACGCTAAGTTTTATAAGACATAGCAAACTGTCTTTGAAAGTGGCTATAACATTTAGCCTTCTCATCAACAATGAATGGTAGTTTCTCTAGATTCACATCCTTGCCAGCATTTGAAGTTGTCTATGTTCTGGATACTAATTATTCCAATAGGTGCATAATGGTATCTAACTTTTGTTTTAATTTGCATTTCCCTGATGATAAATGATGTGGAACATCTCTTCACATGCTTATTTGCTATCTGTATATCTATTTTGGTGAAGTGTCTGTTAAGGTTTTTGTCCCATTTTTCAATCAAGTTGTTCATTTCTATATTGTGAAGTTTTAATTCATTATAATAGATAACGGCCCTTTGCAAGGTATGTCTTCCTAAAATATTTCCTCCAAGGCCCTGGCTTGTCTTTTTGTTCTTTTCACAGTGTCTTTCATGGAGCAAATTTTTAAAATAAAGTCTAGTTTATGAGTTATTTCTTTTATGTATTGTGCATTTGGTGTTATATGTAAAAAGTCATCACCAACCCCAAGGTTATTTAGAATTTCTCTTATGTTTTCTTCTGGAGTTTCATAGTTTTGTGTTTACCTTTAGTTCTAAGATCTATCTTGAGTTAATTTTTGTGAAAGGCATATGGTCTTAGTCTGGAATCTTTACTTATTTCTCCTCTCATGCCTCATTCTTGATGTGCATCTGAGTTTCTGGCCTGTATCTTCTTCCTTCTCTGTTAATAACTTTAAAACAATTATTGAAATGCAGGTCTACTGACTACACATTTTTGTTTGTCTGAGAAGGTCTTTATTTCTCTTTCACTTTAATAGAATAATATTGCAAGACACAGAATTTTAAGTTGGTGTTTTTTTTTCTTGCAGCCCTTTAAATATTGTACTCAACTTTTTTCTTGCTTGAATGGTTTCTGAAGAGAAGGTGACTTTAATTTTATCTTTGATCCTCTGGAGATACAGTACTTTTTAAAAATCTGATCTCTTTAGAGATTTATTTTTATCTTTGATTTTCTGCTTCAAATATTTCTTGTATTCCTTTCTCTCTTTCTTCTTCTTCCATTACACATGTTGCATCTTTTTTGTAGTTGTTCCACAGTTCTTGGGGAGTTTGCTCGGTGTTTTTAGTCTATTTTTTTTTTGCTTTTCAGTTTCGGAGGTTTCTCTTGATATCCTCAGTCTCAGATATTCTTTCTTCACTGTGTCTGGTCTACTAGTAAGACCATCAAAGGTATTCTTCATTTCTGTAACAATGTTTTTGATCTGTAGCATTTTCTTTTTATTCTTTATAAGAAATTCCACTCTGATTGCATTGCCCATCTGTTGTTGCAAAACTATCTGTTTTATTTATTGACACCCTTAGGATATTAATCATAGTTATTTTAAATTCCGAGGTTTTTAATCCCATTTTTTTGCTATATATGTGTCTGGTTCTAATTTTCGCTTTGTCTCTTCAAACTGTGGTTGTTGCCTTTCAGTATGCCTTGTAATTCTTGCATGATTGCCATACAGAATGTATAAGGTAAGAGACATCTATAAATAGGCTTTTAGTACTATGGTGGTAAGGCGTATGGGGAGGGGAAGCAGCCTGTAACTCTTAACTTTCAACTTAGCATATGCTTCTGCACCTCCCCTACCCCAAGTGAAACACGATGGCTTGGGAAATACCCAAGTGAAATAGAGTTGGGTATTTCCCTTTAACCAAGTCATTTAGACTCTGATAAAACTCTAGCAGGTTATGCTCTGGTTAAATAGTTTCTCCTTATGCAGACTTTTTAATGGAACAGAATATTCTGGTGCTTTTCAAAATGGCTACAGTTCCGCTCCGCCTGACAGAAGCATGAGAAGATTTTTCTCTGATATTCACTGTGAGAACCTGGCCACGTTCCTGGAGGTAAAATTTTTAAAAGTGTGGGAAACCCTACCATCATCACAGGCTTCCCTTGGAGTATGTGACTCCCACACTTGTGCACACTGAGCATCCAGCAATTCATTTCGGTTTCGGTTCTCCAGCCCCAGCGTTGGTTGATGTGAAGGTTTCTGCTCACGGGTTTCTTCTCCAGTAAGTTGAGATTGTCTGTATTTGCTTCTTTGTCTCCCAGTTTGGGGGCAGCGTTTTGCCCTACGACCTTACTTCTTTTACAGATCTTAGAGAAATTAATTTTTCAGTTCGTTCAGCTTTTTATTTTTTGTTAACTTGGAGTAGTAACTCCTAAAATCCTTATATGCCAGACCAGAAATCGTTAAGTTATTGGTGATGCCATTTAAAAATGTGAATATATCAATGAATTGTTTAAAGATAAGGACTCTCAATTAGAAAGTGATAGAATTTTCATCCAGCACAAGCTGAGCCCTTTTCTCAACAGTTAATGTGGGAGATGGTATCAAACCTAAAACATTCTAGACTTGTAGATTTTTTAAAATTCCCACTTATATTTATCTATTGATGCATAACCAATTTTAAATTTAGGAACACAAAATACCATTTTAATGTGTATGATTCTTTGGATTATGAGTCTGAGAAGGGCACAGAGGGGTGAGACCACCTCTGTTGTATGATGTTTGAGACCTCAGCTAGGGTGTCTTGGATGGCTAGAGATGTCTGGACCAGCTCAGCTTGGCCATGATACCAGACCCTTGGTTCTTTTTCACATGATGTATACTAGGGCTAGAATGTTCAAGATGGCATCTTCACTCACAGTCTGGTGCCAGGGTTCATACAACCAAGACAGCTAAAGAATCACCTGCATTTCTTCCCCTGTGGCTTCTCCAAGTAACTAGATTAGCTTTCACACAGCTTGGTGGTCTCGATAAGGTTGGACATAATAGAAGGTGTCTGGCTTCCTGCAGCGTGAGCATTGGAAAAACCTTAGGAAAAATACATAAAGCTTCTTATAACTTAGCACTGGAAGTCCCAGAATGTCACAGTTCTGCTACATTGTATTGGTCAACCAATTTACTAAACCAGCCCAGATTTAATGGGAGGAAAATTAATCTCCATCTCTCCAAGGGGGGATTAGCACAGAACCTGAAGCCATCTTTAATCTAGCATACCAATTGTTTAAAAAAAGAATATAAAAATATCGTACTTTTGCAAATATTACACTAACAGATGACCAGAGGAACACATTGCTTTGTACACTCAAAATGCTTCATACAAGTGAGGGACCACAATTAAATTTCACAGTTTAAGAGTACATCTGATTCTGCTAGAAGCTGGCCACATTAACAATATATAATAGAATAAGCCTCTGGACACAAATTTAATATTTTTGGCAGCAAAATAAGTATTTTTTAAAATACTGTAATATATCTCACCTTTTGCCTCTCTTTTATATAAAACTACTGGATGTGAATTTTTTTTATAGTTTTAACTAGATACTTCACTTTTCTTAATATAGTCTATTTTCTTAATATCCATATATTATTAAGGCTAATATATTCATGCCTTCCAATTATTATATCCTTTATTTATTTGATAAAGTTATAGGTTAATATATCTGTAAGTCTATTATGTTTCTATTTGTGTGTACATGATTTGTTTCTAATCAATTTACGGTATCTTTCAGCCCTGGGGTGAAAAGAGAACATTGGTAAGGGGAAATGATTACTCTAGCATCCTTGAAGAGATAAATGATTAAAATTCTTCATATTCAAAAACAACATCTTAATGATACAGCAATACAATAGGCTTAAAAATGAGATGTTTTGACATAAAATGTTTTTTCTAAATTTTTTACCACATTGTAAAATATCTAAAGCAAATTTTTCAGAAAAGGCAAGGAGTATATTTGGAGAGGAGATATAAATCCCTTAGTCTACCATTTCTGGTTTAGAGACTGGTGCCAGGAAGAAATGGGAGTGGTCAGGGAGGCAGGAATGGATACTTGCAGACAGGGTCCACTCTCTCTACTCTTGGTTTCTTCTGGCTAATCCCAAACTTGGTGTACTGTCACATAAATTTAGCTCAAGTTATTCTTTTTTCCTGTGTGTATTCATGGAAGATATTTACAAGTTTTATGAGGCCTGGAAGGTGATGCAGAAAATATCTAAATTGAAAGTATGTTAAGAGTTTAGTAAACTGAAGCTATGCTCCAAATAGACAGCAAGGCAAAATCACCATAAAAGTCTCAGAGCCATAGTGAGTTTTGATGAGGCCAATCAGGCAGAGAGCACCATAGTCCCCAACAAAAGTGACAGTCAACACAAAACAGGTGAACACATGTAATGTGATTCACAGACTTCAGCAGAAGATGCAAGCAATATACTCAAGGATTGGAATAGCTGCACATTAGAAGTGTTTCTAACCAAAGAGCCCATATCAGACACCAAAAACAAACAAATAAACATCCCTGAGTACATCACATAGGTCCAGTAACGATGAGGGACTCCTTTGTCCTCTTAAATTGTTTAAATACCTTTTCTGTGGACAGAGAGCTATTATTTAGAAAAAAAATTATTGGTGGGAGACATAAAAGTTAAATTTAAGTGATCTAGAAACTTTACCTAAAGAAATTGAGAATTAACCTTCAAAGACTGAATTATTACATCATATAGGATTACAATTCAGCAACCTGCTCCTAGTTGATACTGATCCCTGAAAACAACGGTTTTCAGAGTGTGGACTCTAGTAGCAGTTACGATCATCTAGGAACCTGTTGAAAATGCAGATTATCAGACCAATCTCCATTTCAATGAATTGAAAAACTCTTGAGTTAGAACCCAGTATCTGTGTTTAACAAGTCTTTCAGATGATTCCTATACATTGTAAAGTTAGAGAACCTCTACCTTAGAAAAACGGAAACTTTTATTTCTATATGTTATCTTCACATTTTCCACAACTGTGGTCTCCTCCAGTCACTATCATGTGTACCTGTTTTGCTAAGGCATGAAAGTTAACTTCTAACATTCACACTTCGGAGTGTAAGACATGTAACTATCCTTTGCCTGATTTAATTAACAGCCTTCAGATTGGCCTGTGCCTAACTAGTTTGGGAGAAAATGCCAGGTGACTAATCTCTGTTTTCTCAGATGCCTATCAATTGCTCTTTTTGTCCTTGGGATACACCCTGTTATATCAAGTTATCTTTGCATTTTCCTTTACATTGAGGCGTCTTAATAGATTATAATCTATATGTATTAGCTTTGCGTTTTACTCTTATTTTCTCTTCAACACCCTAAAATCCTGAATCTGACTCTGCCACTCCATTAATTATTATAGTTTTCCAGTTGTCTTACTGATAGGATAAATCAACATATTTTTGTCCACATTTAATTGGCTTCTATGTAGCATTTGATATTTCCCCATATTCTTGAAAGGAGTACTTTTTCTGGACTTTCCCTTATATTTGGACTTTTTTTTCTCAGTATCTTAAATAGGTTCTTTTCTCTCTCTGCTTTTGAAATGGTAGAATTCATTAAGCCTATCTTCTTGGCCTTTTCCTCTTCTTATTTTATTTTGACCCCACTGAGGGGCCTCATACAATCTACAGCTTTATGGTTTATGCAATGATGATTACAAATCTGTATTTCCAAAACTCTCACAGTTATTTCTCACCTGTGAGAGTCAGGTCCAAACATCCAAAACCTACTGAATGGATTCCTATGAATTATCTAAGAATTTCCTTAGTTGGTAAACCTAAAAATACACATGTACTATTTATGATAATAAAAGTTCTACATACTCCTTAGAGAAATGAATATTTTTAAATGAGCTAAAACTGAAAGCATGAGTTATTCATAATACTACCACTTAGAAATAATCAGTGTGTAAGCACACACACACACACACACACATTGTATATTCTTTGATTTGTACTCATAATGTTGTATATTTCTTACCAGAAATGTAATTGCTAAGAAACCGTGTATTTTTTATTATGCATGCACACAGTGTTGTTACTGTTTATGCATAAGCTTGATACCAAGTAAATTAGACCATTTTTGCACAAGAATCTGACAGTTTATATGCACTCGATTGCATTTACATTACAAAGGGTTATGTGCAGCAGGGTGGAGATCTTTCAGGTTCAAAGCTGGCATACAACATTACCCTTGAGTTATAGGATATAGCTTTCCATAAGTATATTTTCCTTCAGGGAACCAATATACTTTCTCTAGAAAAACAGCGGAGAGCTACAGTGTGACATTTAGTAAAAATTCCATTTTCAAATGGACATGTGGCTTCAAACTATTATCTCACTACCATGCATCTTAAATCAGGACAAATAAAAAGCTGTTTATTCTACAGTTCAAATGGAAGCATGCAGTGTTCTAGGATCAATGTTATTTTGAGGGGGTCTATATGTGCGTGTGCTTCTATTTAAAAAAAAACAAATGAAAAAATGTTTTTCACTAAGAAATAGGCATTTTGATTATTTCTAAATTTTTGACTTAGAAAATTTAGCTCCAAGTCTAAATAATCTCAACGTAAGAATAGATGATGTCTAAAGGCAGAATGTCAGAAGGTGACTAAATAACTTAGGATATGAAGGTAAATGCCAAGAGAATCAGCTACATGACACGTGAGTCAATGAAAAGGAGAGTGCATCTTGGAGAGCACTCTTCATCATACAAACCTCTGTAAAAGTATGTGTTTCCTTAAAGTGTCCTACAGTTGTCCTTCTGTACAAGAGTGAGGGGGATTGATTCCAAGACTTCCGCAGATACAGAAATCCCCACTTACTCAAGTCCCACAGCGTGCCCTTCAGAGCCCACGTTCAGAAAAGTCAGTCCTCAGTATGCGTGGCTTTCACAGCCCCTGAATAGTGTAGTTTCAATCTTACTTGGTTAAAAATTATCCATGTATAAGTGGATCTGTTCAAACCCATGTTGTTCAGAGGTCAACTGCACATGAATAACTTTGATTTTAAAATTAATGTCACTCTTTTAAATAGAGAAAAGTTGTATCAATAGGGAGCATTTGTGTCATGTAATCTCTATGTCTCCTACCCAATTAAGAAGAAAAATTATTTTTTTGCATGCTGCTACAAGGGCAAGCAAAATGCAAAGTGGAAACATAAATAAGTCTGATTACTGTTCTAGAGGAGTTATAAACTCCAGAGAAGATGAGACAATGTGTGACCCAAGCACAGTGAGAGATAGAATGAAATAAGTGGCAGGACAGCAAAACTGTCTTTCTCTGTCATACAGGTCTATACTGCCAACTCTGAAGTTTCAGTGTATACCTCTCCTGGATATAGAGTAAATCATTACAGAGTTTTAAAAACAAAACAAAACAAAACAAAAAAAACAGAGGAAATCATTACTGCCCATGGAACCAGCGCTGACCACCCAGCTTTCAGTTCTGACCAAGATCAATCCCATGATGTGGCATGTTTCTGTTTCCCTCAGGCCTCAAGGCATGCATTATGACCTGAACTCTCATGTCCCAACTTTTCTCTGTCTCCCCAATCTGAACCAGTTCCTAATCCATACATCATAAGCTATTGTTCTTTTTTTTCTGGAGAGCTTCAAATCAATGATAAGCAAACTGTGTGGCATTCTGAAACTCTTCTCAGAATGTTTATTTTACCTCTTTGTCCTTAAAGAAACTTGATTGTGCCCTGAATTCTCCTTTGTAGCCACCTCAAGCTGATGGCGTCTATTTTATTTTCTGTCCTACCACAGTTCCATAGGATACGCACAGCTGTCATGTTACCTTAATGTTACCTTAATATAACTTTCAAATGATTAAATCCTTCTCTCTTCCAAAGATAAAAAAAAATTCTGTTTCTTTAAGGATCAAACCCATTCAATGTGAACTACTCACTCATCTTCCTTTTTTCCATCATAAACCAATCTCTGGCTCACTTCCATTGATTCAGTGAAAACTCAGCTCTTGACTCAAAGTTGTCTTTTACCAGAGTTGCTGTTATAATTCTGGGCAACTTCAATATCCACATATATATTTATTTCAGATGACACTCAGTCTTTCAGTTTCTTCATTCTCTTATCTCTAATAAAATTTTCCTTAAAACTTCACCTACTCTCTTTTATAACCACTCTCAGAACAATTATCATCATCAGAAACATTCTCCTCCTAAGGAGTTAAAATGCAAGAACCTCAGCTTTCAAAAATATTTTTCCCTTTAGTTTTCTTTAAGTACTCACGGTACAACTCTTTTGCCACTTCTGAAACATGACATCCACTCGTCTACTAGTCTCACTCTTTGTTCATAATTCATCCATTATCCACTTCCTTCCTTCACTTTCTTTTAAGAATCCTAAGGTCTACAGTCCATCAATATAGTCACTCCCCCATAAGTGTACTTAAGTTCATTGCACACCCAATTACTTACCACCCCCATCTCCATAATATTTGTATTTCAAAATTCCAACTGTGAGTGAACTAAAAAATAGGGTTTCTAGGCCAGGCATGGTGGCTCACACCTGTAATCCCAGCACTTTGGGAGGCTGAGGTGGGTGGATCACCTGAGGTCAGGCATTCAAGATCAGCCTGGCCAACATGGTGAAACCTCATCTCTATTAAAAATTTTAAAAATTAGCTGGGTATGGTGGTGGTCGCCTTTAATTCCAGCTACTCGGGAGGCTGAGGCAGGAGAATCGGTTGAACCCGGGAGGTTCAGGCAGTGAGCCGAGATGCTGCCACCTGTACTCCAGCCTGGGTGATGGAGTGAGACTCAGTCTTCAAAAAAAAAATAATAATAATAATAAATAATGCTTTCTCTGTGCCTGTAACCCAGCAGCTGAATTACATATTCGCTCTAACCCCTTAGTCTTACCTAATGTTCAGTATTTCGGGAGGCAAACAGGCTTACCACATTGCCTGATCACCCTCACCCTCCTATTCTAGTGGTAGACTCACTTCCTCACTTCTGAGAATACATTTTATCTTCTTCTTTCTTCAAATATCTGTCACTCCACCTCTATTCTGCCATCTTAGCAGATGAGCTTGCCTCACATGTGACTGTAAAAAGAGAAATCATTAGATGGTAAATCTTTTATCTCTTACCTACCATAATCAATCTGGGCAAGGTCATCAGTGACTTTGAAGTTGCCAGATCCAGTGTTTTCCATTCTCCCTACACATGACACAATACAGAAGGGCACTATTCGAATCTATTAATTTCTCAATCCTGAAAACATATCTTGTCTCTCCAACCCTGTACCAACAGAGTCTCCTTGTTCTTCTCTGAGTCTTTTCTCTCTCTTTATACAAATTCTAAATATTAAAATCATCTTGGGTTCTATCCCATATCCTTTTACATTTTCTTCACAGCCTGTGGTCTATAAACATCCTTGTATGATTTTTATCTAGTTAACATTCGTCCCATAATGTCAGACACTAATGTTACCTGTATTTCACTTAAGGGAATTCTCCTCTTTATATGTTCTGGTCACTTTGTCTCTACTTCCATTACATCACACGGGGCATTACACACAGAAGATATATCGGTTTGTTGAATGAATGAGTAAATGGAACTTTGGTAACCTTATAACAACAGTAATATTTGTACTTACCTGCATAAAAGTACAAAGAAGAGGTCAATTATTTCTATCTTTCTTGTATTTTCATTTTTGAAACAGCAGGCTTTCAGTTGCTCCTTTTTTTCATTGATTATAATCATATCTTGTTATTACACTCTTGTTCCTTCTTGAAAGCTATAACTGGAAGCTTCTTTTCTCTTCTTGACATATTGTGCTTTTGCTGATGCTAAAGAGGACTTTACTTGCTTATAGTTAAAAGTGGGAGGCTTTGCTGCAAGGAGAAACTTGCTTTCACTTTAGTGCCTAAAGGGCATCTGACATCATTCATTGCAAATAGGCCACTTTCTACCTTATTAGTGATGCTACATGCTTCATGGTGCAGGTTAATTTCCTCTTACAGATCTGCATAAATTGTCAACGTTATCCTATATCTCAGCTACATATTTCTTCAGGGAATTTATCAGCTACCTTCTCCCACTTGAATACTATATTTAAATTCCCTGCATATCTGTATTGGAATATGCCTGACAAAATATAATAACCTAGAGTATGTTTGCTTATAGATATTACCTACAATATAGTTAAATTGTATCATTTTATGTATCAATGGTTGAAATACTGGCCTAGTTCATCCACTATTGTTTTAACAAAATGTTGACACCTTCCTGTTGGTTTAAATAGAATCTCCCTTTTCTATATCTTTGCTGTTACTATTAATATGACATGTCAAGTCAGATGTAGACAAAAAGGAATTAGTTTAATTTCTCATTTTATATTCTGGAAGTTTAAGGTTTTTAGGTGTCATATACTATGTTAATATGAAAATAGAGATACTTTCTGTTTGGTGAAGTATGCATCTGTTGTAACTACTTTCTAAGAAATGAATACAAAAACCAACTAAAGTAAATTATTGACTGTTGCAAACAAGCTCCCGGATTCATGGCTTAAACCAAAATTGCCTACAGACAAAACCACTTTAAATGTGTATTGTGTGTCTCTGTTGTTTAATCTTATTTGATTAAATAAGATTTTTTAATTTCTGTGGGCTAACAGTTTAGTCAAGATTTTGTTTCCTAAGTTTGGGTTTATAGAAATGTCCTAGGCTGGCCGGGCGCGGTGGCTCACGCCTGTAATCCCAGCACTTTGGAAGATGGAGGCGGGCGGATCACGAGGTTAGGAGATCGACCATCATGGCTAACACGGGGAAACCCCGTCTCTACTAAAAATACAAAAAACTAGCCGGGGGCTGTGGCGGGCGCCTGTAGTCCCAGCTACTCGGGAGGCTGAGGCAGGAGAGTGGCGTGAACCCAGGAGGCGGAGCTTGCAGTGAGCCGAGATTGCGCCACTGCACTCCAGACTGGGCGACGGAGCAGGACTCCGTCTCAAAAAAAAAGAAAAGAAAAGAAAAGAAAAAAAAATGTCCTAGGCTAAGTCCAGTCTAGGAGACAGAGACAACTGTACCATATTTTAGTAAGAGAGATGACAGTTGGAAAGGCTGGAGGAAATTATAAAATAATAGGCTTTTCAAGAAGGACACATAGAACATGTCCAACTTTCCGGGATCATAAAGCTACGACCACTGTCCAATTATAAAATAGGTTATAAGGAAATTGCCAATGGATTTATTGCATTAAGAAGCATATCTTCTAAAGCTACGACCACTGTCGAATTAGAAAATAGGTTATTAGGAAATCGCTAATGTATTTATTGCATTTAGAAGCGTATCTTCTATTTACTCTTTGGGAAGCTAGGATCAGGAAGCCACTGTAACGACAGCTACAAGTGTGTCTTGACACACACCAGCCAGTGATGGACACTGAACATAAATTCTGGCCTACTGACTGACTCTGTCACCTTGTAACCCCTCAGCATAGAGTTGGGGCATTGGAAAACCACTTCAGACCAAACCATCTTCACATCCTTGCTTTCCAGAAGAAAACAGCCAAAGTAACGAGAGGATTGCCTCTGTCTCATTTCTGTCGTCCAAGGCTTAAGTGCAAATTTTGTTTTACACTTTCTGACAACAGAGTACTCGAAGCCATACTAGGAGGAAATGTGAGTAGAGTCTGGATGATATTGACCAAATCCACCATAAACATTTTTGTGAAAAAAAAAAAAAATACTAAAAGGGAGCTGCTATAGTGATCCATTAAACAAGTAAAGTATATCATACATATTCTACTTCACTGACATAATGATTTTGAAACAGTTAAATATCATGCAAACTATAGAATTGGTTCTCTATTTTTCTTAAGTCCTGCTGTACTGAGATATTTGAATTTCCTAAATTCCCTAGATTTGTTCTTTCCTCTTAGCTTGCACATTATGCTCCTGAAACAAAACTATCATTCTCTCCCCACATCTTTTCTATTGACCACCCTATTTGCTTCAGAAAGCCTTATTTTATCATAAATATAATTGGCATTTGTTCCCTCCTGTATGGTCTTAAAGCTCTCAATGTAAATGTCTATCATAAAATGATAATCCATTAAACTACTTTATATACCATTATATTCCAATAGATCATAAAGTTTTTCAGGACAATCTTCTTCAATACGTAGTGTTCATAACAGGTGCTCAGTAAAGATTATTTGAATCTATGTTCAAATGCCAGTTTAAGGCTTCTTGGTAGCATTTAGATATGAGTTATATTTAGCAAACTTTCATTTTACTCAAAGTGCTATATTACTGATTGCATGGCATAATGAATAAATAGATATTTGTCTTCAGTTTTAAGTTTAATAACCTTAACCTGTTAGGTATTAGATAAATTCAGTTGTTTTTTCTTTATAGACTTAAGACCTTCAAAAGATCAAAAAGGGTGTTTTTCCTCTCAAAACCAGAAATGTTAAATAAACAGAGAGAGAGAGAATATATATTATATATATATATATATATATATAAAGTTAATAACTCGGGACAAAAAAAAGCTGTCCCTTATGCAGAAGACTACCATTACCACCATCCCTGTCCACTAGTAACTAATTTTGAGCAGCAAATAACCTGGATGGGAGAATCTTTGAGCAGACTGGGAGGTCCTACAACAGTGGGCACAGCTGACAACAGAAGAAATATGTTTTATTAGAATTAAGGACACCATATTCCCCTGGCCAGAATTTCCACTGTAATTCTTTGGACTCCCTAACTCCTATTCTTTGAGTAAACATCAACAAAATTCATTTTACCTTGCCCATAGGAAAAGTCCAATAATGTAAATATTTTTGCATATTTTTGGCTTTCTGAAAAAAAATAGGGTGTACGTAACAGGTTTCATAGACTAAGTTTTCAAAAGCCAAGTTATTATTTATAGTCAACTGTCTGTATTTAGGAATTGCTTATCTTTATTTTTTTCTTTATGTCAACAATGCAAATTCAAAAATGTCAGAAGAGAATTTGGGGAAATAAGTTATATAGCACTGCTGTCTTGAGAAACAGAGACCATTATAATAATTATGATATTATCATTCCAGTGTTATTCATCCCAATTTCAAGAACAAGTGTTGGCACAGGGAACCTAAAACTGAGATGAGATGGCAAACATCTTTAGAGTAGAATGTAGAAAAAATAACTACAACCATTCTACGAGCTACTTACATTTAAACACATCTATTGTTCAAGAATTGAAGGACATTTGGAAAGAGAATAAGCTACGAATTATTACTCTTTACACTATTAATAGCTTAATAATTGAATTGCAAAAAGCTCTTGCCCAGGTACTGAAAATGAGAAGCTGAGGGAGAGGGGGAGCGGGAGGGGAAGGGGGAAAGAAAAAGAAATAACAACAAAACAGAATAACATAGATTCAACTGGGATGAGGGTAGGGTTTTTAAAATTTAATCCCATTAATTCGATTTCAGTTTAGATAGAATAGATAAATTTCAAAAGATTCAACAAATGCAAACAAAAACTTCTTTATAAATAAAGCAATATCATTATTAAGTGCACCGTAAATTAAAAATTGTAAAGATTCCATGAGTACTTTTTTTATGGTAAACTGGAGAAGATCAGCTTCTAGGAATTTCTCCTGTGAATATATTCACAAAAGTTCACCTAGATCCTCTTTGAAAAATACAAATGTAATTTTTTAAAAAAAGAAATGCAGAGGATCCTATGATAATTATAATATACATGATGCCACCCATGCAGGCAATTATTTAAGTCACACATTCTTTGATTTAAACAAAAACGAAATGTGATTTCATGCACTCAAATGTTGCACAGCAAATTAATGCTTCTTACATCCAAATATAGTGGTAGTCTGTGAATTTTCTTTTTTTCTCTTCATCCTCCCTTCCTTACCTTTGTTTCTTTATATTATTAATCTGTGAAAGTAAGATGAATTTTTGAAGAGATAAATACTATTGCTTTCAATTTCTGATATCATACTTAATCTATATGCTAATTCTGTATATTTTAGGAAGTTGGTATATTTTCAATCCCCTTGATTCCAATAACGTTATCACAGTACTATGCAGTCTCTGACTCTTAAGTGGCTTTCATTAAAACTTGTTGATTGCATAAATAAATGAGAGTGTGCCAAAAAACTCTGGCCCTTTTTACATGTATAAATAAGTGAGAATGCACATTTAAAAACTATGACTCCTTTCCTTGTGAAACTTACCTATTTCATTAGATTTTGTCACTGCCTTAGCAACTTCCTACACACTGTGAGTGGCTTAGAACAACACAGATGTATAATTTCGCAGTTCTGGAGGTTAGAAGCTCAACAGGTGTCTCATGCGCTAAAACCGCATTGTTAGTTAGCAAGGCTGTAGTTACTACTGGAGGCTTTGGAGGAGAGTCCACTCCTAGGCTCACTCAGTTGTGGGAAGAATTTCGTTCCTTACAGTTGCAGAATCTGTCTCTGTTTCCCACCCGGCTCTCTGCTTTTGGCTGCTTTTAGCTCTAAGAGGTCTTTCTTCTGTTCTTGCATGTGAACCCTTCATCTGAATGCCAGCAAAAGAGCTTGGAATCTTTTCCTTCTGCTCTGTCTTTCTTCTGCTGGTAACCAGAGGTTATTTGCTTATGATCCTATTTTGGACTCACCAGGATAGTCTAGGCTAATTTCCCTGTTTTAAGGTTTGTTACTTGAATTTTATCTACAATGTCCCTTTTCAGATGTAATATAACACATTCGTATGCCCTGGAGATTAGGTCATGGAGATCTTGGGGTTGTCATTCTTCTGCTAACCATAACCATGTTTTGTTTACTATGCATTTGATTATTTAAGAGACTAATGTCAAAACAAGGATCAGCTTAAAATTTTTGTGATGTAGAATATTTGCAATGAAGCCAAAATCATCTGTGGAATTTTTTAAGGAATTCCTTTGCTCTTCAAACATTTTATTTGCTGATAGGTATTGCTGAATATTTATTCAGCATGAAATAATAAAAACAAGTGCTTCACAGTCACTTCCTGAAGTCACATAAATGTGGTTTTTCTTTGACTAGCATTTTCTCATTTTAATTTGCTACAAATATTATACATAACTATGGGAATATCTATGCATGGATATGGAACTGTCCAAAAATAAGATTTAATATTGATAAAACAAGTCATGAAATTCCCTGTGGTTAAGTTTTAATAAACTGTAAATCAACTTGTAAATAACTAGCAAGATAATCTATAGTCAATCTTGAGAAGAATTGATACGTTATCATTGTAGTCCATGGCCTAGTTTGCATACAGTTCATAAGCACAGCATTTGCAAGCATAAGAGACTGGTATAAAGATTTTAATTTCAGAAATTTATGTTTAGTAAGCTCAGTTTTAAAACTATGCCTTCTAGTTATACAGTGCTTTAGTTCAGAAACTGTTTTTTATATTAACTAATATAATTTTTTTTTACTTCTATTTTTTTTAATTATACTTTAAGTTTTAGGGTTCTTACAACCCACTAAAATTGTTATTACAAAATATGTAATCTCTATTCAATGACAAATTTAGCATGTGGCTGTGATCATAAACTGGATCTTTCAGTTGCTTGTTTTAGATTTTTATTTTATATGTGTTGCTATATATGTATTTTAGTAAAAATGTTAATCAAATAGAATATATATATACATACACATTCTAGATAAGAAAATATATGTGATAAAGGTTATGCAAAATCCTCCTAAAGGCAAAAGGATGATGCAAATGAATTCTAGGAGACCTCTCTTTCTAGCTTTATTTTTCTAACTTGTATCAAGATGGGAATGGGAAGTGGGGGTGGGGTGCTTGCATGTTTTAAATGGGATGTTGGTTACTTCAAACATCAGTTACTTTACCATGTTAACAAATTCTTACATTTTAAAAAAATTTTCTTTGTTTATTTTGAGACAATGTTATTTGATGCCTTTAAGTTATATAACTCTACAAAAACACTTAAAATAATTAAAGTCAATAATACACTCAAGGGTAAACATTTGTCAGTCACTATATGTCACACACCTGTATATGAGTTATTGCTTATTTACTCACAGCAGCCAGAGGTAGAATCTCCTGGAATTATAGCCACCCAAACTCTAAAATTTCTAGTTAAATATGTGTTGTTATGTGATCAACCAAAGCAGTGAAAAGGCAAGCAGATAAAAAAATAAAAATACCAAGAGCTTTCCAGCCAATCTCCTAACATAGAAGTGGACCATCTATTCCAATTTAAAATCCTTAAATAATTGTGTGTCAAATGTATATCCTATTGTGTCCTACACAAACTAATCTCTTGTGCCAATTAAATCTTTACTTAATTTATATTGCACATGTGAACTATCTTAAACATTCCACTAAATATTTAAAATTTGATGTGATAATTATCTCCTCCTGTATATTTGTTTAGTAATTCACCATCTTTGAGATTATGATGGATATTGAACATATATCTCATTGTAATTAACTAGATCTTTTCAAGAGCAGTGAATCGTGGCAGCCCATAAAATACTCTACATAGTCTTGTTTATTTGAAGGACATTTTTCTGATACAGAACAAAAATGAATGCCTGTAAAGATAAGCCATTTTTAGAAAACACTATTTAGTTTTGTGAACTTCATTCCATGAGTGGTGCAAGTGAAATAACTGTCTAGGGTATAAGAAAAACAATAAATTAGGAAAGGTGTCTTGTCTCGAGGATTTTCTACCAAATGGTTTCTTTAATCGTTAAATACTGACCTAGTCTAGGAGGGAAGTTAATGAAATCTAGCTGGAAATCTATTGCACTTGACCAAGACAGCCCTAACATTTCCCTCAGCTTCACAAAACTTTAGACAGGTTGCTTCCTGATTCTTGGCTCCTGACTCCCATTTTCTTAAAGCATTTACTTTAGAAAACTTGTAATTGTCAATCGTTTGTCTGATCCTAGATATTTAAATCCTTTAGAAAACCTCTTGCCAGTTTTACAGACCAGGACTGTATTTCTCAAGGACCTGGAAGCCATCTCTCTGAAATGTAAAAAAATAAAGATGGCACCCTATTTCCCTGTGGGAAGAGAGTAGCCTAACTTCCCAGGAAACCTTAATCTAGGTTGTAAAATTTTCTCCTATCATGAAGATAGGAGAAAGTTTTTTTAAAAAGATGTTTAATTATTATAGATACATAATAGTTGTACCTATTTATCAGGTACATAGATATGTGATAATGTGATACAAGAATATAATGGGTAATAGTTAAATCAGGGTAATTGGAATATGTATCATATCAAGCATTTGTCATTTCTCTTTGTAACAGGCAAAGGAGATGTTACTTAGTCTATTGCAATAGGAGAGAAAGTCCAGAACTGAGTCTGAACTCAACCTCACTGAAACAAAAGTTCAGTGCAAATGCTGCTTTGTCATTTTCTAAGAGAAAACTTATTCATGAACATCAGAAAGGAGGGGGAAATTCTCTTTAAGTTATGATATAAGGATAGCATTAAAATCAGGCATAATAAAGCATTTTTGGCTATGATGCAGATTATGCACATTTTGAGCATATGTATTTCCTATTTACTGAATATTGCACTAAAATGAAATTTGAAAGTGAAGAAGGAAAGGAATTTCTAATAATGTTGAGAAGATAGTGACTGGATGGGAAGAGTGATGTTGATGCACCATTCATTAGAAAATTTATTAAATTCCATGAAGACCATAGACAGAAGAAGAATGTGAACAACTTCAAATCTGAGACTCCTAGAATATAATGTTGGTTGTCTATGGACTATAAGCTGGTAAATGTGTCAGAGCAAGGGACATAGATGCAACATTGTGCTAGGATGGGTAATGACCCTACAGGATTGAGGTGAGAAGCAGGGCTGAAGAGCGACAGCCAAAAAACTACAAACCTAGGCAACGGAATCATTCTGTACTCCCATCCTTCTCCCATTCCAGGCAGAACACATACTATAAGCAAAGATAGGGCAAAACAGATATCTTTTCTCTAAACTGATAAACAAAAAAAAAAAAAATCAACTTACCCAATATACAAACAACAACAACAACAAAATACAAAAATCTTAGTTACATATTGAAGTATGAAAAAGACTCTTTTCTTTTAGGTATTGGAGTGTCCACAGATCTCAAAGGAAACCTACGTTTAGACAGGACCTGTCCTGCCTGGCCTCACACAACTCCTGCACAGAGTTCCTACTCCCAGAAGAGATTTAGATGGAAAGGAGTTATTTCCATACAATAGCAAAGGGGAAATGGAAAAATGCACTAATCATTTTTTAGTGTATAAAAATGACAATTAAGGGTCACCAATATGCCCAAAGAGCTAACAGTATACAAATTAAAACAACAAACAAATATTTTTCTTTTAAAAATCTATGCAAACTCAGGGTCCAACTATGAAACAAAACAATTGATGTAAGAAAAGGTAATCCATTAACTATATTTTCTTGTTTAGTTCTTTTGTTTCCTTTGATAAACGTGGACATTTTGTCTACTTGTTAGGATTAAAATAATAACAATAATGATTCATCTTCTAGGTGAGTTATTTTATTTTTTATGCAGTCCCGCATACACAGGCTGGTCTAAAATTCCATGCACCTAGAGCAAATTCACACTTCACTCTGCCGAGGCCTTTAGTGTGTGGACATAAACAAAGGCCACCCTAAGGAGATCAAGCAAAGGCTATTTACTCAGAGCTTGCTATAGCAAGAAAGTACTTTTAGGTACATTTAGAAGAGACTCAAAGGTTGAGAGGGGAGTAGAAAGCTTTATACTGAACAAAAGGCTTGGATATGCTCTGAATGGACTTTGTTGGTGTGGAGAAGCTGGACTCCAGCTAACTAGATGCTGGGCATCCTATATGATGGGTTTGAAAAGAGATCTTTGAATTTTTCTGGTTAGTCCTGAGTTGGAAAGAGAAGAGCAATAATCAGAAAAGCTGGCAGTAATTGGGCAAATCCTACTATTTTAGGGGTGATTGCTGCAGAGGTTATGGTTTGGCTTCCTGTGGTGGTTGCTATAGAAGTTGTGGGTGAGAGTTCTAATTTTATCTGTGGTCTGGTAATTGTCATTTTTATACTGTCTCTCAAGGATTTATAGATCCCCCACAAGAATAAGGCTCACAGCTTTAACAACACTCCAGGTCTCCAAACACACTCAGATGTGCTCATGTGCATGCACACCCACCTCCTACCCCACCCACCCACCTACCCACACATACACACTGTCTCTCTTAGGGTATTAAACCTCCAGTATCCAAAATGAACTGCCTGTTGTGATATTACCACGAGCTAAACAGTTTACTTGTTTTTGCTACTCTGGCTTTCTTCTTCTTTTCTACCCAGTTTGATAGTTGGGGATTTCCATTTGTTTTCTTTTTTCTTTCTTTCCTTTATTCTTTCTTACCTTTTTTTTTCTTTTTCTTTTTAAAGTACAATCACAGAGTTAATTTTCTGGTTGTAATTCACACTGCCTTTATATAATATTGAAGTACAAGGACTTTACATATTAGTTCATTCTAATATGAACCAGAAGTACCAATGAAACCAGAAGTGCTTATTATATTTATGATAATAAAAATTAAAATAGTAACACACGGAAAAAGAATAAAAAGCATACAAAAAAGATATTCCTTGTTTTAAAGTGGTAAATTTAACGTGAGTACCTACTACGTCTTCGAAGAACTGTATTAAGCTACAATCTCTAAATGTGAATTATAAAAGTTTGATTTATAGGTCTGGTCCTGTGGTAGAAAATATAGTAAAGAACTTTATCTTAGGGATATTATCTACTTGGTTTCCTGTCATTATTCACCATTACTGTAACGATTACTTTGGTGGAAAGTGCTGTTTTTAGATGGTGACTTCTGTGTGATTGTGACCTCTCTTTCCACCCAACTCACTTTGCCTACTTAAAAAGTTATTCACTGACTACAGTTGTCCACAGAAAAAATGTACTCTTTTATTTATTATTTTACTCTTTTCTTTCTCAAAACTTACTTTGTAAGGGCAAATAAAAATTTAAAAAGAGGCTAGTTCTCCCTGCTAAAAATAAAGTGAACCCCCGCCTTTTCTTAGATTATATTTACATAAGAAAACCTCATTACAAGTGCTTTTCTTCTTTAAAATGTATGTAAATCTTTTTTTTTAAAAAAAAATACACCTTTCACCAGATTTATGATCCAGGAATGTCTTTTCCAAGTACTCAGAAACCATCTAATTAACGGAGACAGAGCTACTACCTTCCAATTCCTATGGGAAACTGGGAGCTTAACTTCCGCCAGCACCTTAATCCAGGTTGAAAACGACCTCCTGTGATAAATATATGAGAAGTTTATTTTTCACTTGGATAAAGATAAATAGCAAATACAAATGGCCACCACAATTGCCAGGTGAATCTAGGATGAATAATGTGTCACAAATGATGCAGCCAAGTTATATTACTTTGCCTATTTGAGAACATGAATGTATGGGTTGTATATGTTTGACTATATAAAATAATGAGATTTCTTTGTTTTTCCAATCTCTTAGCGAATTGCCTGTGATGAGCATCACATTCTGGTGTAATGCTTATTCAATAATAAGACTGTTTCTTTTCTCTTTCACCTGTTTTGGTGAGGTTTTTCTGGATTGGCAGCATATATTTCTTTTTATTTCCCCAATAACCTCCTTTAGGTTTGTTCAGTGTTATACTCCCTGGACACAAGGTTTCTGAATGCATGTTACATGATGGTATTTAGAAGGTTTTTCCAACTCAATACACATGGAGAAATCCTTTTTTTGTTGACTTCTTGCTATGGGCAGAGAAACCATTGGTCCACGTAGAGGAACTAGAAAATCTCTTGTGTCCTGGGCTCCTGTGTGTGGATATGGAATCAAGGCTTAACTAGTTACAGAATTCTAACTGGTAAATAAAAATTACAGGAGACCATTGTGTTGAACTAAGTTGCTGCACTAGGCCCCAACAAATTAGACTAAAAATCAAAATGGAGTCACTCATGCTTAAATTTCACATCAACAAACTAAAACTAAGTTATCTGACCTTCCAAGAAATCAGGAGTGAACTATAAGCCAATTTTCCAAACAGGCCAGTTTCAATCTTCAATGGGAATGATAATGAAGTTCTCTCTGTTTTAATTCTTAACCAGAAGTAAGTCCATTTTAACAAATCATTGTTTTTTTTACTCTTCTGCTCCTTGTTCCTGTGTTATAAAAAAAGTAATTTTAAAATGGCTGATCCACTTTTTGTTTTTTGTTTCTGCTTTCTTTCAGACTTCTCTGTCTATAAAGCTAACTTCTGGGAGGCTGAGGCAGGTGGATCACGAGGTCAGGAGATCGAGACCATCCTGGCTAACACGGTGAAACCCCGTCTCTACTAAAAATACAAAAAATTAGCTGGATGTGGTGGCAGGCGCCTGTAGTCCCAGCTACTCAGGAGGCTGAGGCAGGAGAATGGCGTGAACCCAGGAGGCAGAGGTTGCAGTGAGCCGAGATCGTGCCACTGCACTCCAGCCTGGGCGACAGAGCGAGACTCCATCTCAAAACAAAAAAAAACAAAAACAAAACAAAACAAAACAAAAAGCTAACTTCTTCTGGTCAGCTCATTGGAATACTTATTCTATTTTAGGGAATGAAGTGTTTCTAGATTCTGGAATTGCAATAAAGCCAGTTGAGATTTTCAACTAAATCTGTTGACTTTTTGTCTTTTCATACAACCCACATCCATTATCAATGGTTTGGAAATGGACACGTGAACCAGCAAAAACAGGCAGTCTTTTCCCTGATTTTTATTGGCACTATTGGGAATGATGCCAGGCTCATGTACTTCAAAACCCATGAAACTACCAAGGGCCATTGCCACCAGAAAGTGTATGAGAACAAAGTTAATCAGAGGCAAACAGAACAAAAGGTAGCTAGAGAGAGGCTTAGCATCTTGATGACATACTTGGAATATTTCAGTCCAGCTTTTTAGATTTAAGCTATTATAACTTATGTTTATATCCGTTTAAAAAAAAAATCTTAACTAATTCACTCAGCATGCCACCTCTCATGGCCTAACATGAAAGTGTAATTCCTGAAATATTAGGAGACTACACATGTTCTCCCCTTTCAAGTATTTATTGACCACCTGTCATATGACACATAATCTCCTAGTACCAGAAATTCATCAGTGAACGTATCAGAGAAACATCTCTGGATTCAAGAGATTGATTGCTCTAGCTAAGAATTTCAGTACTGTGTTGATCAGTAGTGGTAAAAGTGGGCATACTTGTCTTATTCCAGATCTTAGAAGACAGGCTTTCAGTTTTTCCCTATTCAGTATGATACCAGCTGTGGGTCTGTCATGTCAACTTTTATGCTGTTGAGGTATGTTCCTACTATGCTCAGTTCTTTTAGAATTTTTGAAATGAAGGGATGTTGAATTTATTAAATGCTTTTTTAGCATCAATTGAAATAGTCATATGGGTTTTTTTCCCTTCATTTTGTTGATATGATGTATCACATTGATTGATTTGCATATGTTGAACTATCCTTGGATGTCTGGGATAAACCCCACTTGGTCATAATAAATGATATTTTCAATGTGTGGTTGAATTTGGTTTGTTAGTATTTTGTTGAGCATATTTACATCAATATTCATCAGAGAATTGGCCTGTGGTTTTCCATTTTTGATGTGTCATCTGGTTTTGGAAGTAGGGTAATACTGGCTCCATAAAATGAGTTTGGAAGTACTCTCTCCTCCTCTATTTTTTTTTTTTTTTTGTAATATTTTGAGCAGGATTGGTATTAGTTCTTCTTTCAGTGTTTGGTGGAATTCACCAGTGAAGGCATCAGGTCCCAGGCTTTTACTTGCTTGGAGACTCTTCATTATGGCTTGCATCTTGTTACTTGTTATTGGTCTACTCAAGCTTTGGATTTCTTTATAGTTCAACCTTGGTAGGTTGTATGTGTGTAGGCATATATCCATTTCTTCTAAGTTTCTCAATTTATTGACATACAGTTTCTCAGTTTTCTCTAATGATCCTTTAAATTCCTGCTGTATCAACTTAACTCCTTTTATATCTCTGGTTTTATTTATTTGCATATTCTCTTTTTTTTCTAGTCTGGCTAAAGGTTTGTAAATTTTGTAATCTTATCAAAAAAACAACTTTTTGCTTCATTAGTCTTTTCATTTTTATATTTTTCAGTTCAATTTTATTTATTTATGCTTTAATCATTATTTTTCTTCTTCTACCAGTTTTAGGTGGCTTTTCTTCCTTTTCTAGTTTTTTAGGATGCATTATTAGGTTATTTATTTGAAGTTTTTCTTCTTTTATGATGTAAGCACTTATAACTGGAAACTTTTCTCTTAGTGCTGCTTTCCCTGTAACCTATATATTTTGGCATGTCATGTTTTCATTATAATTTGTTTCAATAAATTTTTCAATTTCCTTCTTAATTTTTACACTGATTTAATTTCATTAATTTATTCATTGGTCATTCAAGTGCATATTGTTTAATTTCTATGTGTTTGTATAGTTTCCAAAATTATTCTTGTTATTGATTCCACTTTTATTCCATTGTGGTCAGAGAAAATACTTGATATGATTTCAATTTTTTGGAATGTCTTAAGACATTTTTTATGGCCTAGCATAGGGTCTATCCTTGAGGATAATCTATGTGCTGAGAAGAATGTGTATTCTGCAGCCATTGGAAGATATGTTCTATAAATATCTATTAGGTCCATTTGGTCTACAGTGTAGATTAAGCCTGATTTTAATTTTCTCACTGTATGGTCTGTCTAATGCTCAGAGTTGCGTGTTGATAGTCTCCAACTATTATGGTATTAGAGTGTATCTCTCTTTAGCTCTAATACTATTTGCTTTATATATCTGGCTGCTCCATCATTGGGTGCATATATATTTATAATTCTTACATCATTTTGTTGAACTGATTTATCATTATATAATAATCTTCTTTGTTTCTTTTTATACTTTTTGTCTTGAAATTTATTTCCCTGCCACAGATATAGCTACTCCTGCTCTTTTTTAATTTCCATGGGCATGGAATACCTTTTCCGTCCCTTTATTTTCAGTCTATGAGTGTCTTCACATGTGACATAGGTCACATATAAAGTGTATACACCTATAGGGTGTAGGCAACTAATTATTGGGTCTTGTTTTATTATCCTTTCAGCCACTCTGTGTCTTTTGATTGGAAAGTTTAGTTTCATTTACATTCTTTGTTATTATTGGTAAGTAAGGACTTACTACTGCCATTTTGTTATTTGTTTTTTTTTTTTGTTGCTTTGTGGTCTTCTCTTTTTCCCTGTCTTCCTTTTTGTGAAAGTGATTTTCTCTGGTAATATGCTTTAATTTTTTGCTTTATATTTCTTGTGTACCCATTTTAGTTTTTTTTGTTCTTGTTGTTTGTTTGCTTGTTTTGACCCAAAGTTTTACTCTGTTGCCCAAGCTGGAGTGCAGTGGCGTGATCTCGGCTTACTGCAACCTCCACCTCCCGGTTTCAAGCAATTCTCCTGCCTCAGCCTCCCAAGTAGCTGAAATTACAAGCACCTGCCACCATACCTAGTTAATTTTTATATTTTTAGTAGAGATGGGGTTTCACCTTATTGGGAAGGCTGGTCTCAATCTCCTGAACTCAAGTGATCTGCCCAACTCGGCCTCCCAAAGGCTGGAATTACAGGCATGAGCCACCATGCCCAGCCTGTTTTAGATTTTTAGATTTGAGGTTTCCATGAGTCTTGAAACTATTTTGTAACCCATTTTTTTTAAACTAACGACAACTTAACTCTGATTACAAAAACAAATGAATGAAGCAACAAGAAAAGAGAAAACTGATAAAAAATTCTGTACTTTAACTTTATCCCACCTACTTTTTACTTTCTTGTTGTTTTAGCCTGTATCTTATTACAATATCTATGTCTTAAAAAGTTGTTGCAGTTGTTATTTTTCATAGAATTGTCTTTTTGCCTTCCTACTCCAGTTATGAATAGTTGGTATACCACAATTACAGTATTATAATTTTATATACTTGTCTGTGTACTTGCTTTTACCAGGGTGTTTTGTACCTTCAGGTGGTTTCTTATTGCTCATTAACATGCTTTTCTGTCAGACTGAAGAGCTCCTTTTAGCATTTCCTGTAGGATAGGTCTATGTTGGCAAAATCCCTCAGCTTTTGTTTGTCTGGGAAAGTCTTTATTTCACTTTCATGTTTAAATAATATTTTCACTTACTATAGTATTCTAGAATAAAAGTTTTTTTGTTTTCATTTTTCTTCAGCATGTTAATTATATCTTGCAACTCTCTCCTTGCCTGTGAGGTTTTCACAGAGAAATCTGCTGAAAGGTGTATTGGAGCCCCTTTACATGTTGTTGTTTTTGTTTTTTTCTCTTACTGCTGTTAAGACTCGCATCTGTAATCCCAGCACTGTGGGAGGTCTAGGCGGGCGGATCACCTGAGGTCAGGAGTTCTAGACCAGCCTGCCCAACATGGTAAAACCCCATCTCCACTAAAAATACAAAAACTAGTTGAGCATGGTGGCAAGCGCCTGTAATCCCAGCCACTTGGGAGGCTGAGGCAGGGGAATCACTTGAACCCAGGAGGTAGAGGTTGCAGTGAGCCAAGATTGTGCCACTGCACTCCAGCCTGGGCGACAAGAGTGAAACCCTGTCTCAAAAAAACAAACAAAAATTCTTTCTTTATCCTTGACTTTTGGGAGTTTGATTATTAAACGTCTTGAGTTAGTCTTATTTAGTTTATATCTACTTGATGTTCTAAAACCTTGTTGCACTTGAATATTGGTATCTTTCTCTAGATTTGGAAAGTTCTCTGTTATTATCTCTTTATTTTTTCTACCCAGACCTCTCTCTCTACCTCCTCTTTAAGGCCAATAACTCTTGGATTTTCCATTTTGAGGCTATTTTCTAGATCCTGTAGGCATGCCTCTTTTTAAAATTCTTTTTTCTTTTGACTCCTCAGAGTATGTATTTTCAAATAGCCTGTTTTCAAGCTCACTAATTCCTTCTTCTGCTTGATCAATTTTACTGTCGAGAGACTGATACGTTTTTCAGTTTTTCAACTGAATTTTTCAGCTCCCAAATTTCTGCTTCTTTTTAATTATTTCAATTTTTTGGCTAAGTTTATCTGATAAGATTCTGAATTCCTTTCTTATCTTGGATTTCACTGAGTAATTTTAAATTCTCTGTCTGAAGGGTCACACATATATCTGTCACTACAGAATTGATCAATGGTGCCTCATTTAGGTCATTTGGTGAGGCCATGTTTACCTGGGTGGTCTTGATGCTTGTGTATTTCATCAATATCCAAATATTAAAGAATTAGGTATTTATTTTAATCTTCACAATCTGGGCTTGTTTGTACCCAACCTTCCTAAGAACGCTTTTCAGATATTCAAAGGGAATTGTGTGTTGTGATCTAAGTCTTTGGTCATTGCAGCTGCATGCACATTAGAGGGTATCCCAAGCCCAGTAACACTGTGACTCTTGCAGACTCCTAGAGGTACTGCTTTGGTGGTCTTGGGTAAGATCCAGGAGAATTCCCTGGATCATCAGGCAGAGACTGATGACTTGGATGGTTGTTGAATTTGGTGTACATACTGAGATGATGATTGTTTGAGGGTTCATTTTTGCCATCTTACTCTGCCTACTCATCAAGGGCCCCCTTTTCTAGTTTCTTATATTATATACCTATCTTTATACCTATTTGGAAAAAATGAAATTATTCCTAGAACACTGAGTAGATGACAATATAGCATAACTTTATGTTGAGATTACAGAAATTCCCACTATAGCTTTCTCTCTGTAGTCCTGAAAAAAATAAAAAATAAAAATAAAAAAAGGACACATTGCAGCTTTCCTTCCAACTAAGGCCTCAGGCTAAAAGCGACTGCTTCCTAGCACACCAACTGTAAGTACTACACAGAATGGGGAAAAGAGAGTTAATTGAACGTAAGAGTACTGGATAAGTCAGTGGGGACTGACTATACAAAGAAATAGGGTAACAAAATATTTATTCACTATATTTCCTGAGGATTGTCTCATAAAGTAATTGTTTTGGAAAATGAAACGTTTTTAGTCAATAAATTTTACATAGAGAAGTAGAGATGCTCTTGTAGGTGTCTCTGCATTAAAAAGGCTGGTTGTTCATAATCTTGACTATGTTCATTTTCAAAGTAGCTACCTTTGTTTTCAGCACCAGAGCTGATATGAAAAACAGAAATTTGAGTTAATAGAAAGTCATGATTAGAAATATCAAAAGGGATTAGTTATCAGAATATTACTGAGAGAAAATCAAGCATCAGAGATGGCTCATTGAGAAGTGAAGCAGCAAGCCCTCGAATCAGGTAGTTTGCACCTAAAACCTGGCTCAAAGTTGAACTTGCTGTTTGACCATGAACAAGTTACTTCTTTTCATATGACTTAATTTCTGCATCTCTGAAGTAAAATATAGACTAGTTTAGAGAATAATTGAGATAATTTATCCATGTACAGTTTCTACCAACTTCATAATATTTGCTTAATAAATGTTTATTATATACTTAGAGATGCCCTAGCTACTGTGTGTTCACTGTTTCTGAATTTTAGAGAGACAAAACAATATGAAAAAAATATGGACTCTAAATAACTTTCCTCTCCCAACCAGTTGGATTTAACTTATTTAAACACACAAGCAACCTCCTCCAAAATCACCCCCCTTAATATCTTGAAAAATTTGTGAATGCAATCACAAATAAAGCCACCACATATTTTTATATAAATTGAGATTAATTCTGATTTTGAACTGCAACTAAATGCCTAACACAACAAAAAATCTAGATGAGGAAAATTGTTATAAACAAACATTTGTGTAATTTTTTAGATTTGAAAAATATAGTTATTATTACTTTATTGAAAAATGTTATAGCCAGAAAAATAATCCTAATTAAGAAAAAGACCTTCATATATTTTAATAATCAAAACATTTTTGGTTCATCATTTGAAAATTAATTCAATTTCTAATTAACAATACATTTATCTAATTCCTATGGTCAAAATATTTGTGTCCACTGGTGAATGGTTCTCCACGACAGCTCTGTTGTACAGTAATTTATCTTACATGTATGGTAAATTTGCTCAAACATTTCTGGCCATTGTCATTCATATTTCTCAGTGATCAACACTACTGTGAGACATTTACACTGCACCTCACACTATTCCTCCAGGAAAACATCACTCCTCAATAACCAAATCTATAATATGACATTCATTATGTTCACAATACTTCATTTTGCATCTCACCTGCAGAAGAGTCTGTTTTAATTTCAAATTATTTTAACAATTTAAGAGAAAGATAATTCAATCTTTTGGAGAAAAAAATCTAGATAGACAACCCTTACAGAGGGAACTAAAAACCAGGCAGTCTAATGCTGTATTGTGGAATTAGTTATGATTTGGGGGAAGGTTTGAAATAGGTATAGAAGAAGCTAAGTGCAATATTCTGTTTATATTTCAAACCTTCTTTTTTTTTTTTTTTAATTTTTTTTTTTTTATTATACTCTAAGTTTTAGGGTACATGTGCACATTGTGCAGGTTAGTTACATATGTATACATGTGCCATGCTGGTGCGCTGCACCCACTAACGTGTCATCTAGCATTAGGTATATCTCCCAATGCTATCCCTCCCCCCTCCCCCGACCCCACCACAGTCCCCAGAGTGTGATATTCCCCTTCCTGTGTCCAAGTGATCTCATTGTTCAATTCCCACCTATGAGTGAGAATATGCGGTGTTTGGTTTTTTGTTCTTGCGATAGTTTACTGAGAATGATGGTTTCCAATTTCATCCATGTCCCTACAAAGGACATGAACTCATCATTTTTTATGGCTGCATAGTATTCCATGGTGTATATGTGCCACATTTTCTTAATCCAGTCTATCATTGTTGGACATTTGGGTTGGTTCCAAGTCTTTGCTATTGTGAATAGTGCCGCAATAAACATACGTGTGCATGTGTCTTTATAGCAGCATGATTTATAGTCCTTTGGGTATATACCCAGTAATGGGATGGCTGGGTCAAATGGTATTTCTAGTTCTAGATCCCTGAGGAATCGCCACGCTGACTTCCACAATGGTTGAACTAGTTTACAGTCCCACCAACAGTGTAAAAGTGTTCCTATTTCTCCACATCCTCTCCAGCACCTGTTGTTTCCTGACTTTTTAATGATTGCCATTCTAACTGGTGTGAGATGATATCTCATAGTGGTTTTGATTTGCATTTCTCTGATGGCCAGTGATGATGAGCATTTCTTCATGTGTTTTTTGGCTGCATAAATGTCTTCTTTTGAGAAGTGTCTGTTCATGTCCTTCGCCCACTTTTTGATGGGGTTGTTTGTTTTTTTCTTGTAAATTTGTTTGAGTTCATTGTAGATTCTGGATATTAGCCCTTTGTCAGATGAGTAGGTTGCGAAAATTTTCTCCCATGTTGTAGGTTGCCTGTTCACTCTGATGGTAGTTTCTTTTGCTGTGCAGAAGCTCTTTAGTTTAATTAGATCCCATTTGTCAATTTTGGCTTTTGTTGCCATTGCTTTTGGTGTTTTGGACATGAAGTCCTTGCCCACGCCTATGTCCTGAATGGTAATGCCTAGGTTTTCTTCTAGGGTTTTTATGGTTTTAGGTCTAACATTTAAATCTTTAATCCATCTTGAATTGATTTTTGTATAAGGTGTAAGGAAGGGATCCAGTTTCAGCTTTCTACATATGGCTAGCCAGTTTTCCCAGCACCATTTATTAAATAGGGAATCCTTTCCCCATTGCTTGTTTTTCTCAGGTTTGTCAAAGATCAGATAGTTGTAGATACGTGGCATTATTTCTGAGGGCTCTGTTCTGTTCCATTGATCTATATCTCTGTTTTGGTACCAGTAGCATGCTGTTTTGGTTACTGTAGCCTTGTAGTATAGTTTGAAGTCAGGTAGTGTGATGCCTCCAGCTTTGTTCTTTTGGCTTAGGATTGACTTGGCGATGCGGGCTCTTTTTTGGTTCCATATGAACTTTAACGTAGTTTTTTCCAATTCTGTGAAGAAAGTCATTGGTAGCTTGATGGGGATGGCATTGAATCTGTTAATTACCTTGGGCAGTATGGCCATTTTCACGATATTGATTCTTCCTACCCATGAGCATGGAATGTTCTTCCATTTGTTTGTGTCCTCTTTTATTTCCTTGAGCAGTGGTTTGTAGTTCTCCTTGAAGAGGTCCTTCACATCACTTGTAAGTTGGATTCCTAGGTATTTTATTCTCTTTGAAGCAATTGTGAATGGGAGTTCACTCATGATTTGGCTCTCTGTTTGTCTGTTGTTGGTGTATAAGAATGCTTGTGATTTTTGTACATTGATTTTGTATCCTGAGACTTTGCTGAAGTTGCTTATCAGCTTAAGGAGATTTTGGGCTGAGACGATGGGGTTTTCTAGATAAACAATCATGTCGTCTGCAAACAGGGACAATTTGACTTCCTCTTTTCCTAATTGAATACCCTTTATTTCCTTCTCCTGCCTAATTGCCCTGGCCAGAACTTCCAACACTATGTTGAATAGGAGTGGTGAGAGAGGGCATCCCTGTCTTGTGCCAGTTTTCAAAGGGAATGCTTCCAGTTTTTGCCCATTCAGTATGATATTGGCTGTGGGTTTGTCATAGATAGCTCTTATTATTTTGAAATACGTCCCATCAATATGTAATTTATTGAGAGTTTTTAGCATGAAGGGTTGTTGAATTTTGTCAAAGGCTTTTTCTGCATCTATTGAGATAATCATGTGGTTTTTGTCTTTGGCTCTGTTTATATGCTGGATTACATTTATTGATTTGCGTATATTGAACCAGCCTTGCATCCCAGGGATGAAGCCCACTTGATCATGGTGGATAAGCTTTTTGATGTGCTGCTGGATTCGGTTTGCCAGTATTTTATTGAGGATTTTTGCATCAATGTTCATCAAGGATATTGGTCTAAAATTCTCTTTTTTGGTTGTGTCTCTGCCCGGCTTTGGTCTCAGAATGATGCTGGCCTCATAAAATGAGTTAGGGAGGACTCCCTCTTTTTCTATTGATTGGAATAGTTTCAGAAGGAATGGTACCAGTTCCTCCTTGTACCTCTGGTAGAATTCGGCTGTGAATCCATCTGGTCCTGGACTCTTTTTGATTGGTAAACTATTGATTATTGCCACAATTTCAGAGCCTGTTATTGGTCTATTCAGAGATTCAACTTCTTCCTGGTTTAGTCTTGGGAGAGTGTATGTGTCGAGGAATGTATCCATTTCTTCTAGATTTTCTAGTTTATTTGCGTAGAGGTGTTTGTAGTATCCTCCTCCAAAGGAACGCAGTTCCTCACCAGCAACAGAACAAAGCTGGATGGAGAATGATTTTGACGAGCTGAGAGAAGAAGGCTTCAGACGATCAAATTACTCTGAGCTACGGGAGGACATTCAAACCAAAGGCAAAGAAGTTGAAAACTTTGAAAAAAATTTAGAAGAATGTATAACTAGAATAACCAATACAGAGAAGTGCTTAAAGGAGCTGATGGAGCTGAAAACCAAGGCTCGAGAACTACGTGAAGAATGCAGAAGCCTCAGGAGCCGATGCGATCAACTGGAAGAAAGGGTATCAGCAATGGAAGATGAAATGAATGAAATGAAGCGAGAAGGGAAGTTTAGAGAAAAAAGAATAAAAAGAAATGAGCAAAGCCTCCAAGAAATATGGGACTATGTGAAAAGACCAAATCTACGTCTGATTGGTGTACCTGAAAGTGATGTGGAGAATGGAACCAAGTTGGAAAACACTCTGCAGGATATCATCCAGGAGAACTTCCCCAATCTAGCAAGGCAGGCCAACGTTCAGATTCAGGAAATACAGAGAACGCCACAAAGATATTCCTCGAGAAGAGCAACTCCAAGACACATAATTGTCAGATTCACCAAAGTTGAAATGAAGGAAAAAATGTTAAGGGCAGCCAGAGAGAAAGGTCGGGTTACCCTCAAAGGAAAGCCCATCAGACTAACAGCGGATCTCTTGGCAGAAACCCTACAAGCCAGAAGAGAGTGGGGGCCAATATTCAACATTCTTAAAGAAAAGAATTTTCAACCCAGAATTTCATATCCAGCCAAACTAAGCTTCATAAGTGAAGGAGAAATAAAATACTTTATAGACAAGCCAATGCTGAGATATTTTGTCACCACCAGGCCTGCCCTAAAAGAGCTCCTGAAGGAAGCGCTAAACATGGAAAGGAACAACCGGTACCAGCCGCTGCAAAATCATGACAAAATGTAAAGACCATCGAGACTAGGAAGAAACTGCATCAACTAATGAGCAAAATAACCAGCTAACATCATAATGACAGGATCAAATTCACACATAACAATATTAACTTTAAATATAAATGGACTAAATTCTGCAATTAAAAGACACAGACTGGCAAGTTGGATAAAGAGTCAAGACCCATCAGTGTGCTGTATTCAGGAAACCCATCTCACGTGCAGAGACACACATAGGCTCAAAATAAAAGGATGGAGGAAGATCTACCAAGCCAATGGAAAACAAAAAAAGGCAGGGGTTGCAATCCTAGTCTCTGATAAAACAGACTTTAAACCAACAAAGATCAAAAGAGACAAAGAAGGCCATTACATAATGGTAAAGGGATCAATTCAACAAGAGGAGCTAACTATCCTAAATATTTATGCACCCAATACAGGAGCACCCAGATTCATAAAGCAAGTCCTGAGTGACCTACAAAGAGACTTAGACTCCCACACATTAATAATGGGAGACTTTAACACCCCACTGTCAACATTAGACAGATCAACGAGACAGAAAGTCAACAAGGATACCCAGGAATTGAACTCAGCTCTGCACCAAGCAGACCTAATAGACATCTACAGAACTCTCCACCCCAAATCAACAGAATATACATTTTTTTCAGCACCACACCACACCTATTCCAAAATTGACCACATAGTTGGAAGTAAAGCTCTCCTCAGCAAATGTAGAAGAACAGAAATTATAACAAACTATCTCTCAGACCACAGTGCAATCAAACTAGAACTCAGGATTAAGAATCTCACTCAAAGCCGCTCAACTACATGGAAACTGAACAACCTGCTCCTGAATGACTACTGGGTACATAACGAAATGAAGGCAGAAATAAAGATGTTCTTTGAAACCAACGAGAACAAAGACACCACATACCAGAATCTCTGGGACGCATTCAAAGCAGTGTGTAGAGGGAAATTCATAGCACTAAATGCCTACAAGAGAAAGCAGGAAAGATCCAAAATTGACACCCTAACATCACAATTAAAAGAACTAGAAAAGCAAGAGCAAACACATTCAAAAGCTAGCAGAAGGCAAGAAATAACTAAAATCAGAGCAGAACTGAAGGAAATAGAGACACAAAAAACCCTTCAAAAAATCAATGAATCCAGGAGCTGGTTTTTTTGAAAGGATCAACAAAATTGATAGACCGCTAGCAAGACTAATAAAGAAAAAAAGAGAGAAGAATCAAATAGACACAATAAAAAATGATAAAGGGGATATCACCACCGATCCCACAGAAATACAAACTACCATCAGAGAATACTTCAAACCTTCTTTAATATTAAAAACGTATACAATGTAACAATGAATAATATCTTACCATTTGTGTATTTTTGTTTATGTTTAAATAAAAGCAGCTTATGCTAACTTAATCTTACAGAAGCCAAAGTAGCCACTGTAGCTTTCTCAGCATCAAAGTTTGTGCAGGCAGGGTGTGGTGGCTCATGCCAGTAATCCCAGCACTTTGGGAGGCCAAGGTGGGTGGATCACCTGAGGTCAGGAGTTCAAGACCAGCCTGGCCAACATGGTGAAACCCTGTCTCTACTAAAAATACAAAAATTAGCCGGGCATGGTGGTGTGCACCTGTAATCTCAGCTTCTCAGGAGGCAGAAGCAGGAGAATCATTTGAACCCGTGAGGTGGAAGTTGCAGTGAGCCGAGATTGCACCATTGCACGCCAGCCTGGGCAACAAGAGTGAAACTCCACCTCAAAGAAAAAAAAAAAAAAGTCTGTGCAATGAGCCGAGACCAATATTAAGAAAGCTTGACTTTTTTGATTCCTAGTCTAGGCATCGTCAAATGTGAACTCTGTTCCTGAGGACAGATTAATCCTGCTGCAGAGTGTCCTACTGATGGATTCACAGAATGACTTTGGCAGCTAGGTGTGCTATTTGTGGTTTTGGTAGTTTGTGCCAAAATGCATTAGTTTGGGGAAAGGTGCCTTTTAAAAACAAATTGTTGCATGTCTCTCTGTAGAACCCATAAAAAAGTAGAGAGTTCATATGTTAAAATGTAACAAATGGTTGTTGGAAAGACAAAATAAATAGCTAAATTCTTATTTTAATTATTTGGAGGAATTGTCTATAATTATGCCAAAATTTTTCATGAGATTGAAAATGTGAATTTAAGGTTTTCTAGATACATGTACCCAGATTACAGAGAAAAAATAGAGACAATTTATAACAAAATTTGAATATTTAAAAATAGATTTATCTTTTTGCTCTTGCATATTTATGGCTAGCCTTATTTGGAATTATCCTGCTAATTTTACATCATATTTGTCATTGGTTTTGAATTGTAATATAAATGGTTCTGGGTCACGAGAGCAGGAGTGCCACATTAGAAGAAAAGAAAAATATAGATTGAAGGGACAATAGTAATATGAGTATGCTATTTTGTAAGAAAATCCTGATATTAATAGAACTCAGCTACATACTTATAACATTCAATAAGAAAAGCTTAATGTTAGCTAAAGTATTTAGAAACATTAAAAATATCGACATGAACAGTTATGTGAAAAAGACAGATTACCTTTTAAAGAAGATTTAGAATAAGTCAATTAAAGATTGCATAAATTGGGACATATTGCTAATATTAAGAAGAAGCAAATAAACAGTATAATTAATTATCTTTATCTCAACGGTATGTAAATCTCTCTGGTAATTTTGTGTCCTACCAGAAGCAGACAGTTTATCTGTACAGAGAACAGTGTGAACTGATTCTTACTACCTATGCAAACTTGAAAATTTTGTTTTCTTTACTGACCACAGCTTTCTCACATGTCAAGTGAGAATTACATGAGATCATATAAATCTGGTGCCTGGAACAGCTATTATAATTATTATTACATTATTATTGCAGGTGAATGGGACACTTGAGTTATTCAAATATTGTGGCTACTTAGAAAATATCACATATACCATGCATAGGTTATTCATTTTTTACAATGTAGATTTGACTGAGAACTAAATAAATTAAAATCAAAACATAATTAGAATTTTTATGTTTCAATTGAAAATAATTATGTTAATATAAATTACAATTTCACTCTAAGGATTTGAATATTGGCTTAATAATCTGTATGCTTTATTTGTGATTTAATAGTCTTGATCCATTTTTAATAAATTATTACATTTCTCCATGACATAATCCCTCCTTAAAAACAGGTCAATTTGTTCAGTTTGTTCTGTGAACATTTTGTATATATTATTCTGCAATTCCATTAATAGGTAAAATGTGCAAACATGTTCTATAGTTGTTTCTTGTACTTATTAGAATTCCTACCAGAATGTAAGGTGATTGTAGCAGGCACTGGGTCCATATAATATGTTTTGTACCTTCAATGACTTGACAAATTTTTTAATATAAATATTATTTAATAGATATTTGATGACTCATTACTCTATGTAACTATGTAAACCTATATAGACATACCTATATATGTGCTTATGTGTATAAACATATATCTTAACATTGTGAGTAAATTAGAGTTCACACTCACACATAATCTTGCCTTTCTATGCCATTTTCGATTGCTACTATTATAGATTTAATCTTTCCTACCTACCATTAAAAAGCATGAAATTGCCAGCGGTGTTTCTGGTAGGTATTATCATACACATAGAGAATTAAGCAAACTGAAATCTGGAGCTTGCTCCAAGATTTCTAAATACTGGAGATTAGATGCAGGCAGAAAGGATTGATGGGATCATTACTTCAAAGCTCTGAAAGGACACTGCTGAGGAATATGAGAGATGTGAGAGTTCCTTCTGAGCCAAGAAAGGGTTCAGCAGAAGGGCCAGATCCAAATATCTTTCATGTGGGTAGTATTTTTCTTCTGAGAGAACTTGAAGATATTTTTACTTTCTTTTATAGAGAGTCATCAATCACTGTAACTGATATTTCTGGGCTCACCAAGAAAGGCCTTTTATGAACAGCCCTTTGGAAATAATATAGAATAACATGGGGCAGCAGATTACTGTATCTTAGTTCTTATTTGTGAAGGCCGAAGCTGATACAAAGATAAGGCTTCTAAGAATGAACTGGCTTCAATAGATAAAATAAGGTTCTAAGGAGATCATTTTTCCCGGAAGAACGGGGAGAACTTCAGTTTATTATACCATTATCACATGCAAGGCACTTGAGAGAAAAGGACAATCAGGCACTCACTGTCCACATCACACTTGGGAAGAACATTGACATTTCTCACTGGAAAAAGGAAAGTTGAATTTTCATGACAGGGAAAAACCGAGCAAAGTGAATGATCTAGAAACTGGATAAGAGCCTGAGCAGTTATAAAGCACTTTAATCAAAACATATTTTCTGATTTGAGTAAAGTAAATGGCACAGGAAAATAAAGGTATTACCTGAGAACTCAAGAGAAATCAATTGAAAAAAGAGGTGACCTGAATACATGAATGGCATGTCTCAATTCATAACCAAAAGCCTTGTAAATAGAGCCTCATCATATCAGAAATAATTATCCTTTCATTCCTCCTAGTTACAAGTTAATAGTTCAATGATTCTTTGTATCCAAATAATTTTGTTTCCTAACCCTGCCAAAATCAGAATTTGAAAATTTTTATTATTCTTTTTAAAAATGTTCTTAATTATTTCCCTTTCTAGTGACATTATGCTGCATATATCTTTAAAAAGAAAAAGAAAATGCCCTAATTAATGACTTGTATGATAGGCCTGTCTGTATGCTCCACTTAGCTAGACACTTGAGAATGATGTTATTTATTAATTTTTTTTTGTTTACTCTCTCTGGGTTTAATATAGAAATAATACATGCTGTTCAATATATCTTAAAGTTTACTGCTTATATATCCGGTGGCCTTCCCAGGAGTTCTTCTACTTTTTCAATGACCACAACATTAGTTGTCACTCAGCCAATACATTTTTCATTTTTTGTTAAATATAAAATAAAATCTTTCTCTTTAATTGATAGTTTGGTTGACCTTTATTACCTCTTTTTTTAAAGGTCAATGCACCATTTGTATTTATACTATATTTGCCCTTTGATACTTTCTCTTCTTTAGTTCATCAAGAAGGAATGGTGGGCCCATGCCTGCAATCCCAGTACTTTGGGAAGCCAAGGTAGGCAGAATGCCTGAGGTCAGGCTAACGTGGTGAAATCCCCTCTCTACTAAAAGTACAAAAATTAGCCGGGTGTTAATTTTTGTACAGGTGGCTCACACCTGTAGTCCCAGCTACTCTGGAGGCTGAGGCAGGAGAATCATTTCAACCCAAGAGGTGGAGGTTACAGCGAGCCGAGATTGCGCCACTGCACTCCAGGCTGGGTGACAGAATGAAACACAGTCTCAAAAAAAAAAAAAAAAAAAAAAAAGGTAGAAATGGTGAAAGACAGTTTACATAATATCAATGAGATCTGCTGTGCATTGTTTTAACATACTGTACTTTTTTTCTTCTTTTTTTGATATCTAATCAGTGGCAGAAATATTGGCTTCAAGCATGAACTCAAACTTTTTCCCCATCATTTCTGTCTCTCTAGATTAAAGTACTTATTTAGAAAAATGCTTTCTTCCCCACAATCTTTCTACTTAATTGATAAAGTCCTAAGACTGAGATTCCTTTTGTCAACATTCTTTCATTCCCTTCTCTAAATGCGTGTTTCAAGCAGTCATTTTAAAAAATCCAGTAAGCCTTTTCTTTTTCTTTCCCCCCATTTTCACTGAATGACAATTAAGATGGCCAAGAATCCATAGACAAAATTTCAGATGAAAAAAGTTAAAAACCCATAAACTTGGCTTCATCAAGACATTTTTCTAAAATAAGTGTATATTGAAATATTTGCCTAAGGAAAAAAATCATCAAAGGTCTGTGAAGATTACTTTATTGTCAATTTTCTGGAAAAATTGTATTCAACATAATAAATACAAAACATGGGTATGATATGTCATAATAGATCATATTAAATCAGTGAATCCAAGGCAGTAAATGATTCATAAGTCATTTGAATGAACTTCTTAATATATCAGTATGTATAGTGCACTTAAATCCCCTAATAATAATGTAACAGTTCATCTAGATATACATTCCTAGGAGAGTGATTGAGAATTTTCCTAAGCTTAATCAGTGAATGTAATCACTGTAGCCAGACTGTTTGATTATTATTTTTTTAGTGTATCCACATTTAACCACTTCTAAAAGAGGATTAAAGAGAGTTCATTTAAGCCAATGATATTACCATAGTCTCTTTAAGTTCAATTTTAAAAGTAGGATATAAATTTTATACTTGAGTAAATGTATATATTCTCTACTTTATTTAGGTAATATTTCTGATGGCCTGCTATGTTTTAGAAATTGCTATAAGAAGTACTGAAGCCCAGGCCGGGTGCGGTGGCTCACTCCTGTAATCCCAGCACTTTGGGAGGCTGAGGCGGGCGGATCACAAGGTCAGGAGTTTGAGACCAGCCTGGCCAATATAGTGAAACCCCATCTCTACTAAAAATACAAAAATTAGCAGGTTGTGGTGGCACTCGCCTGTAGTCCCAGCTACTCAGGAGGCTGAGGCAGAAGAATCGCTTGAACCTGGGAGGCGGAGGTGACAGTGAGCTGAGACTGCGCCACTGCATTCCAGCCTGGATGACAGAGTGAGGCTACGTCTCAAAAAACAAAACAAAAAAAAAAACAAAAAAGAGAAGTACTGAAGCCCATACAAATAACATGGTTTTAAGTGGCCCAATCTCTTCCCCAATGTAATTCACAGTCTAGTAGGGTGCTCTGCAAACTTGACATAGACATTACTTGGAAGGCATTAAAATTACTGATGCCTAGGTTCAACTACTAATGCCTGGATTACACCCCAGAGATTCTGATATAATTGTTACAGATATGATCAATGCTTCAAGCTATTTTAAATCCCCCGGTGAGTTTTGTAAAATATTTGTTTAGAGTAGTTTAAGGTTCACAGCAAAATTGAGAAAAAGGTACAGACACCTCATATACTCCCTGCCTCTATACATGCATAGCTTTCTCCATCATCAAATCACCACTCCCAACAGGGTTATCACCTGACTAGAGCCATGCTGACTGTCCAGATGAAGCTAAACACTGAGACAGCAGGTACTATATTAAAGATAGAATTTAATTATTGCAAGGCAACTCAGCAAGGAGGATGGGAGATATTTCTCAAGGCTGCCTCCCTGAGACTTCAGAGACTAGATTTTTTAAGATGATTTGTTGGGCAGTGGGGTTAGGAGATAGATGCTGCTGATTGGTCCGGAATGAAATTATAGCGGTGACAAGGCTGTCTTCATGCGCTGAATCAATTCCCAGGAAGGGAGAGAGTTATAAGATTAGTCAAGTCCTTGCTTGGCTAATCTTGACAAGTCCTTGCTTGACACAGGCCACAAGTCCTGTTGGTGTCAGTTTGTCAACTTGTAGGCAAAGTCTGAAAAATATCTCAAAACCAAGTGTTAGGTTTTACAATAGTGTTTGTGCCTGCTGGTTACTACAGAAGCCAAGCTGGCAAACAATGGTGGGATATCATTTAACTATGCCTATAGCTAAGCAGAAAAGAGCTCCTCGTGGTTAAAGCTGCAGGCATATCACCCCACATTTACCCAGTTCAACTCCGGGAAGCCATCCAAGGGGGCTGCGTGATCTAAGGATCAATGTTCTTTAAAAGAAAAATACAAGTTTATTAATTGTGTGGGCAGCCTGCCTGGGGACTAGAATAGGAAGATAATCTATTACCAGTGACTACTATTTATTGAAATGATTATGTGCAAGCAATCATGCATGGAGTAAGAAAAAGAGAGAAAGGAAAATATCTTACCAAAATTTAGGCTCCTACCATAATTCTAATCGAGGCCTTTTAAAATCTTATAAAGGCAGTTTCAATACAGTGGTACTTTGTTAAAATTGATAAAATACATTGGCATATCACTGTCACCCAAAGTCCAGTTTACATTAGAGTTCACCTTTTGTGTTATACATTTAATGAGTTTGGATAAATGTGTAATGAAATGAATCGCCATAATACTATACATAATATTTTACCACCCTAAGTATCTTCTGTGTTACATCTATTCATCCTTCTCTGCCTCCTAGTCTTTTGCAACCATTGATATTTTCACTGTCTCCATAGTTGCCCTTTCCAGGATGTCATATAGTTGGAATCATACAGTATGTAGCATTTTCCAATTTGCTTCCTTCACTTAATAATATGTATTCAATTTTCCTCCATGTTTTCTTACGGATTGATAACTCATTTATTTTTTAGCACCGAGTAACATTCCATCGTCTAAATGTACCACAGTTTATGTAGCCACTAATTTACTGAAGGACATCTTGGTTCCTTCCAAGTTTTAGCAATTATGCATAAAACAGCTATGAACATCCTTATACAGCTTTCTGTCATGGCATGAATTTTCAACCCCCTTTAAAAAAAAACAAAAACTGTGATTGCTGAGTCATATGGTAAGAGTATGTTTAGTTTTGTAAAGAATACCAATTTTCATTCCCATCAGCAATGAGTGAGAGTTCCTGTTGTTTTACATTCTCACTGGCATTTGATGTCAGTGTTCTGGATTTTGGTTATTGTAATAGGTACATAGTGATATCTCATTGCTGTTTTAATTTGGATATCCCTGATAATGTGACCCCCTTTTTGCCATGTGCATTGGTGAAGTATCTGTTAAGGTCCATTTATTAATCGAGCTATTTGTTTTCTTACACTTGCATTTTAAGAGTTTCTTGAAAATTTTATTTAGTAGTCCTTTATATCCCATTTGCTTTTTGCAAATATTGTCTCTTCATCTGTGGCTTTTGTTTTCATTCTCTTGACAGTGTCTCTGCAGAGCATATTTTTAAATCTTAGTGCAGTCCAACTTATCAATTATTTCATACCACATATCTACATATCATGTCTGTGGTATTGAATCTAAAAAGTGACTGCTAACATAAGGTCATCTAAATTTTTTCACAAGTTATCTTCTAGTTTTATAGTTTTTTTCTTTTAATTTTTGCTTTTTGTTTTTTTGAGATGAGTCTCTGTTGCCTAAGCTGGAGTGCAGTGGCACAATCTCAGCTCACTGCAACCTCTGCCTCCCGAGTTCTATCAATTCTCCTACCTCAGCCTTCCCAGTAGTTGGGATTAGAGGCACCCGTCACCATGCCCGGCTAATTTTTGTATTTTTTATTTTTTTAGTAGAGATGGGGTTTCACCATGTTGGTGAGATTGGTCTTGAACCCCTGACCTCAAGTGATCCCGCCCACCTTGGCCTCCCAAAGTGCTGGGATTACAGGGGTGAGCCACTGTGCCCAGCCGCTTTATAGTTTTATATTTTACATTTAGATCTGTTATTTATTTTGAGTTAATTTTTGTGAAATGTGTAAGGTCTGTATTTAGATTCTTTATTTTGCTTTATTTTGTTTTGTTTAGCTTTTGTTTTTTAGTATGTGAATGGCCAGTTGTTCCAGCAGAATTTGTTGAAATGACTATTTTTTTCTCCATTGTATTACCATTGCCATTGCTCCTTTGACTATTTGAATATCAGTTGACTATTTACACGAATTTGGTTTTGGGCTCTTTATTCTGTTCCATTAACGTATGTGTTTATTCTTTCACCAATACTACATGATCTTGATTACTATAGCATTATAGTAAATTTTGAGTCACATAGTGTCACTCTCTCAACTTGGTCCTTCAATATTATGTTGGTTATTCTGAGTCTTTTGCCTCGCTTTATAAACTTCAGGGTCAGATTTTCAATATCTACAAAATAACTGCTGAGATTTTAATTGGAATTACATTGAATCTATTGATCATATTGGGAAAAACTGACATCTTGACAATAGTGAGTCTTATGATCTATGAACATTAATTTGTTCTTCTTTGATTTATTTCATCAGTTTTGTAATTTTTCTCATATATATCTTACACATATTTTGCTAGTGTTTCATTTTGGAGATGCTAATATAAATGCTCTTGTTTTTAATTTTAAAATTTACTTCTTCATTACTGAGTTACAGGAAAATGATTGTCTTTTTTTTTTTTTTTTTTTTTTTTTGAGATGGAGTCTCACTCTGTTGCCAGGCTGGAGTGCAGTGGCGCGATCTTGGCTCACTGCAACCTCTGCCTCCCAGGTTCAAGTGATTCTCCTGCCTCAGCCTCCCAAGTAACTGGGATTACAGTTGCTTGCCACCACGCCCAGCTAATTTTTTTTTTTTTTTTTTTTTTGGTATTTTTAGTATAGATGGGGTTTCACCATGTTGGTCAGGCTGGTCTTGAACTCCTGACCCCAAGTGATCCACCCGCCTCGGCCTCCCAAAGAGTTGGGATTACAGGCATGAGCCACCTTGCCCGGCCAGTCTTTTGTATATTAGCCTTCTGTCTTACAACCTTACTGTAATTGCTTATTATTTCCATAAGTTTTTTAAAAATTCTATTATTTTGTATTTTTGACACAGACAATCACATTATCTGTAAGCAAAGACAGTTTTATCTGTTCCTTCCTCATCACTGTATGATATTATTTTCTTCCATATTCTTGTCTTATTATGGTAACTAGACATTTTAGTGTGATCCTGAAAAGGAATAGCAAAGGGAACATCCAGCCAGCTGCAGTGTCTCACGCCTGTAATCCCAGCACTTTGGGAGGCCGAGGCAGGTGGATCACCTGAGGTCAGGGGTTCGAGACCAGCCTGACCAACATGGTGAAACTCCGTCTCCACTAAACATAAAAATTTAGCCAGGCATGTTGGCACATGCCTGTAATCCCAGAAACTTAGGGGGCTGAGGCAGGAGAATCACTTGAACCCGGGATGCAGAGGTTGCAGAAAGCAGAGATTGCACCATTGCACTCCAACCTGGGCAATAAGAGAAACTCTGTCTCAAAAAAAAAAAAAAAAGGAACATCCTTGGCTTGCTCTTGATATTAGTGAAAAATATTCTAGTTTCTCACCATTAACTGTGATATTAGCTCTATGTTTTACGTAAGCATTCTTTATCAAGTTGAGGAAGTTCCCTCTATTCCTAGATTACTGAGCCTTTTTATCATGAATAAGCGTTAAATTTTGTCAAATGCTTTTTCTCCATCTATTGATATGAGTAGGTGATTTTTCTTTCTATTGATGTGATGGGTTATATTGTGTTTTTCATGTTGACCCAAACGTACACAACTTGATCATGCTATATAGTTCTTTTTATACGTTATTGAATTTAGTGTTTTGTTAAAGATTTTTATGTCACCATTCATAAAAGATATCATTCTGTGGTTTTCTTTCCTTGTGATGTCTTTGTCTAGTTTTGGTATTGTGGTGATGTTGACCTCATAGAATAATGTGAGGAAGTATTCCTTTTGCTTCTGTCTTCTGTAATTGATTATAGGGAATTGCTATAATTTCTTCCTTAAATATTTGATAGAATTTACTAGTAAATCCATCTGGGCATGGTGCTTTCTGTTTCGGAAGGTTATAAATTATCATTTCAATTTTGTGATATATACAGGCCTATTTTGATTGTTAATCTCCAGGTGATTTTAATGTGCAGATAAGGATAAAAACCACTGATAAGTAAAGATATGTAACCAACACAGAGCTCTAGTAGAAATAAGTACAATGAAAAAAATATGACATAATTTCTCCTGAGGAAACAAAAAAGGTCTTCATCAAGAGGTTGAATTGAAACTTGAATGAGTAGTTGCCACTAGGTAGCTGACAGAGCAATACTGAAAGATATTCCATAAGAGGGGATAGTATGTGCATTAAAGAGTTGAATGTATTTGAACAGACTGAATGTACTTGAGCAGAAGGAAAACATGAAGCTGGAAAATTAGGTTGAAAACAGATAGTGGCATCATGTCAGAGTATCTCATAAGTGAAAAGAAGCATTTAAATAGTTTGTCATATTTATACATTTTAATTAAAGGAAGTGTTGCATCAGGTGGAATCAAGAAAGAATGAGAGAAGAACAGTTGGCTGACCTAAAGGGAAGTTCTGATATCCTGAACATAATCAGTGCCAGAAACGTTACAGAGAATAGATTACTCATATTCATTTGAATAAAATGCATTATGTTGTTTTCAATAACAAAACATTCATTGAAAGACTGTTTGCTGAGTAACCTGCCAGTACCTGGAGATATACCATTGAATGAGACACAGACTAGGCACTTGCAGTGTAATGGGAGAGACTGGCTACTTTTGTGTTATGTATTCTATGTGAGTTCCTTACCAGCTGATGACATTTTCAAGCACCCTGAGAAGAATCAACACTACATGGTTGAAACAAAGCATGTGGAAATATAATAGCATATTTAGTTAATAGTTGTTTGTATTTTTAACCCTTTGTATGTTGTGCTGACCATAATATTTCTTCTTAGATCAGTTCCCTATCCTTTCTTACTCTTCTGTATTATAGCAGGATACCTCCTGAAAATTGAATTTATTCCATTCTTTTGCAAACTTGTTTTTAGTTAGGTTTTGGCATGGGAGGCTCCAGAGGGAGGCTGAAGAAAAACAAGTGGAGTAAAGTCAGTGCCTTCTGATGTAGCAGGGCTGGAATCATGATTCCAATTTCCTGCCTACAACCTTCTCCTTCTGTCTTCCCAACTCCAGCTCCAGATACCACAACCACCCTTTATCTTTCAGCCCCTAGGGAAGACATTGGCTCCTCTCTATTAAGCTCTGTGGGACCTTATTTTTCAGTTTATCACTTCAACATTTATAATACCTTCATAACAAGTGCCTCATCTTTAACTTCTTTATTATTTTACTTAGGTTAGGTTTTATATTTTTTCTGGGACTTTAACTGATACACATGCATTAAATCAGTTTATTATCACAAAATCTTATGAAGTTGGTACTGTTCTATTTTCACTTAATGATGCAGTAAGTTAGAATTATTTTATACACACTACAGGGCCACTGCACCCACCCACCCACACATGTCTCTGAAATAAAAGTGTCACACAAGAATACCTCTTCTTATGTATTAGTCACAGTAAGTAATACTAGACACTGTAACAGCTAGATTGTGTAACAGTTTATTTTTCACATACCCTATTCTGCTCTAAGTGAATTATGGACCTGAGATTCTCCCGTCTAGTAGGTAACCTTCTCCTAGGATCTCCATGTCTCTCAATGCATGCTTCTGATCAATGCAGAATCAAAGAAAGACTATAGTGTAAGGGCATACATATTTTCTTAACTGCCTTAGCTTACATGTGACAAACAGTGACTCACATTCCAACGGTCAGAAGTAGTTATTATCCCACTTAAACACAAAGCGTCTTGGATTTATAGTCTATCATGGGTGCCCAGGGTAAAAATATAATGGGTTTGGAGGACTCATTTGTTTTCTCAAAAAGAATAAGTCCTGTTACAGAAAATCTGTGTGGATTAAAGATTGCCATAATTTTTGGCCACGCCTCCAATTGAGAGATGGAGATTGCCTCCTCTGTCTCTGCATCTACACTGCTCTTGAAGTTTGTTTTGACTAACATTAGGTTGATGCAAAAGTAACTGCAGTTTCTGCCATTACTTTTAATGGCAAGACTAAAGGTAATGGCAAAAACCACAATTACTTTTGGACCAACCTAATAGAATCCAGGAGAAGTATTCATGTGCTGCATAACCTTTAAGAGGCTGCAAGGATGCCCAGCCTAATTTTCTAAAGAGGCCACATAAAGAACCCATGGAAAACAAGATACCATAAGAGTCAGAGAACACAGAGAGCCCCAGGCTACAGTCAACTGCAAGGCCCCAAACATGTGAAAAGCCACCTGAATGCAACCTAGTTGGTGACTTCAACCGACACCAGAGAGAATAGAAGAACTGACCATTCGACCCACAGAATTATGGCAAATAATAATTGTTTTTAAGCCACAATTTGCTTTGCAGCAATAGGAAATGGAAACATCATTAAATATGAATTCCGCTTTTTCTCACACATATAGAATACACTCATCATTTCCCCAAGGGAGACAAAGCCTTATCCAATCATTGCCTCCAGTTAAGTCCATGATCTCCAAATGATACAGCACATTCTTTATTTGGTCTATATGTGGCTTTTTGTGGCCAAGTATTGTTGTTCAAGGCTCTGGATCTGCCATGAGTTTAGTAATTGTGTGTGCTATGTTATTTTCTATTCTACTCCATCATATTCTATTTTTTATTTTATTGAAATTGAAGGTCACATGACCCACTAAATTGATAAATATGACCTGCTAATATTAAATCATAAACCACAGTTTGAGAAACACTGCATTACACTATACTGCCATTCGTAAAACTGATTTGTTAAGTTTTGGGTGCATTTGGGAAGGAGAAGTGGAGAGAAAGGTTACAAAATAATTTTAAGCAGGGAAATTACATCAACAGATTTTCCTTTTGAGCTAACCACTCTAACAGCACTTTGGACAACTGATTGGAAAGAAACAGGACTATTGGAAGTTTACTCAGTAAAGAGGCAACAGAGATATTTTCGTAGTAATTTTCATGAGAGTGAAGAAAAAGACAGATGTGGATGATTGCATAATTTTGAGGTCCTTTCTTAGATGTGTGGCATTCCTGGACTGGGGTGGGAGAGGGGGCAGACTGTTCTTTCTATCTGCCCTTACTGAGGTGACTGAGGGATTCTTAGAAAATGCAGCATGTTCTATTTAGATATGTATTTTTGTAAGCAGACATGGGCTATTTATTTTCCTTTCTGAAGCACCTATATAAGAAATGGAGACATGATAAGGACTGATGAATAAACGGTGAGAAAAATATAAAATAAAAATAAGCAAAAGTGATAAACTGTCAAGTATATTTTGAAGTCATAAGCGACTTCATCAAATAAGTATATGTGTGTGTAATGTGAGTGTATAGGTGTATGTAAAATCTGTGTATGCCTATATAGGGATTTCAATAAGAAAATTGGACTAATCAAAAGCTTTGGTGAACTCTTTCCATTTTTCAGGCTATTCTTTTAGGAGAAAAACAATCAAATAAAGTAACTTGCATTGGTTTTAGGGGATTTGGGGAGACTTGGCACAGGCTATTTAATTCCACCAAAGTCTGCTATTCAATAACAACTGGTATTCTTAATGATGCCTTAAGGGCAGAAAACACATAGTCATCAATAAACAATGAAATATGTTCATCATACTATATTTTTTAAAGGCATGACAAGCAGTTACATTTGTAAAAAAAAAAAAATTACAAGGTTTTTTTTTCCTCTCTAAACCTCTTTTAATCAAATAATCATGCCTCTGAAATTTCATTTAACATTTTATAGCAGCATCATAAGAAGAATAGGATTTTATAAAGGGAAATGGCCTAGACAATAATAATATTTTGAATATAATGCATCATTTAAGGTAATATAGAATGGTGTGATTAATCCATTCAAACTCTCTGCATACCATGCTGAGTTACACCAGGACTTGCTGCATAAGATACTCTATATCATCACGCTGCCTTGTTGTTGCTATCATGATGATTTATGTACTGGAAACAGCTAAGCTTAGCTTGCTATTTTTGCTTTTCAAAATAGAGGTATGTTATGAATCATTTTAAATACTTGGAAGCATATTTTATTAAAAAAATATTTGCCTTAATTTTTTCTCTATTAAGAGGAACGATGAGAAAAATGTAATCTTTGTATTAAATTTTCAAATAAGGTTGGGTGAATGACATTTCAAGTGAGTTGGTGGGAATGGGTAGTGGAATACACATCTTCTCATAACCTACTTGATATATGGAAATTTAGTTTTGTTATGATTCCTCAAAGTGACTTTTTTCAGTTTTGAACCTTTATCTCACCAAGGTTCCTGTATTTACAAGGGCCCCATAAAGCAGGTTTTTATACAAAATCATTCTTAAGTAATTTAACTGAATAATTATTTCTATAACACACCAAATGCAATGCATACTTATTTAATTTTGAATAGTTTGATTTAATTCTTTTACAAATGTTATGACACATGTAATCTGCAATACTTGGTCCTGAACTTAATTTGATAATATGTGATCAAAGCTTCAGTAACAATTTCCTCTAAATGTACTAAAAATAACCCTTCCTAATTATCTCAAAATGGAAATTTGTTGTGATTTATAGTAAAATTAAGTTAAAAACCTATTTCTAGGCTGGGCGCGGTGGCGCATGCCTGTAATCCCAGCACTTTGGGAGGCCGAGGTGGGAAGATCACCTGAGGTCAGGACTTCACAACTAGCCTTACTAACATGGTGAACCCCATCTCTTCTAAATACAAAAAAATTAGCCAGGCGTGGTGGCACATGCCTGTAATCTGAGCTACGTGGGAGACTGAGACAGGAGAATCGCTTGTACCTGAAAGATGGAGGTTGCAGTGAGCCGAGATCATGCCATTGCACTCCAGCATAGGCAACAACAGTGAAACTCTGTCTCAACAACAACAAAAAAACCCTATTTCTTAATTTGGTTACTATAGGGAGCACAGAGATGTCAGAAATGTCCTACTCACCATGGTCATGTATCAGAAAACTGTGTTGAAGAGTCTGAGTGTATAATCCAAGCGGTCCACTTATTACTAGAAGAGCTGGAAATGCAAGCATAAAGCCATGAAATTTCAGAGCATCTACAGGTGTTAGTATTTATCTGGGTTGGAAGTAGGAAAGACTTAAAATAATGAATTGTGTAAAAACTGATTCCAAATCTAATTAAAAACGTTGGTGCTGCTAGAGTTATAGCTGATTTTCTGCAGGTGAGGTATATACGATATTTATTAAGAATAATCATAAGAACTAACATCTTTTGAGCACTGACTAATTTCTGTCAGTGTTGTAAGAGCTTTGGATATATTATTTTATTTAATCTTCACAAACTTATGTGAGAAAGCAGCTATATAACGCCTATTTTACAAATGAGTAGATTAAGGAATGATCTGAGAAGTTATGCTGCAATCCCAGGTATAACAAAATGAAAATATCAGGGCCAGGATACCAAACCAGGTATTCTGCCTCTACCCCAATACTTCTTAATAGTTCATGTTCATTTGGTATTTACTGGGTGTATAAGCCCCATGACTCCACAAATGACATAGAATGCATAGCCAAATATTATCTTCAATGATTTATAATCTAGTTTTAAAGAAAATGTTTAATGTAGAAAAAAAAACATGGCTCATACTAATGTGTGAGTGTGTGTGGGCATGTATGTGTGCATCTGAAGAGAAAGAGAATTAATTAGATTCCTCAAGCACAGGCAATTTAAAATTCCAATGAAGGAATAGAGCAACGGGTGGTTTTCAAGCTAGGCTGAGTGAAAACCAAGATGCATGACTTTTTTCCTATGTACAAAGGAAATCAATTTCCAGGACCTCAGTTTCCAAATATATTATTTTCTAAAAGGAATCTGCCTAAAATTAGGCCTGGAGTTGAAAACTCTTGTTAATTCTTTTTTTCTGCTCTCTCCATTAAAATTGACCATCTCCCAGTTGACATATGAACCAAATTTTACTATTGGTACACTGCCTGAGATTGTAAAACTTCCCAAGCCCAAAAACAAAAGGTCAATGTGAACTACTGGTGTCTGTATAACTAAATAAAGCTATATGACAAAAGAAAGAAAGTGAATGATACTAACAGCTGGTAACACATTCTTTTAAAAATCAGGTTGTTTCAGATTTTTTTATTCAAGAAATTGGATGACCTAAAAGAGATATCATATTTTAAAAAATTAAATGATGCCCATGTTGTGATCTTTGGCATTAAACTTAAAAGAAGTCCTACAAATTTATTGGTAAAATAAAATTCCTTTCTTTTTAAGTATTTCCCTTATGTGAATAAAAGCATTTTCAAGTTTTACTCTACCAAAAATGTTTTAAAATAAATTTTAATAATTTTATAAAATTAACTTCTGTATTTTCAAACATGTAACAGTCAGATGAGTACATAAAATTATTGGGAAAAAGCCCCATTTATCTCATTGAAGTAGGCATTTATAATATCTTACTTGCTGCTATATTTTATAATTATTCATAGAGAATTATAATATGTTTATAATATGTGGTTTTGATCAATTGTCTACTAATAAAATTTTAACACCTGCAGTCTTGGAGTCCAAAGAAATAAAAAAATAAACTCAACGTGTGTGCACCTTTTTACTGCAGATAAATGTTTTAAATCATCTGGGGCAAATGTCTTACAAGAAAACAATGGTCATTCTCAAGATCTAATGCATCCTCCCTGCACCATCACCCCACCACACACACAGATTATATCCTCCAAGGTAATAAGCAGAGACTGGTCTCATAAAACCTTTAGTAGTGAAACACAGTTCCTGCTCTGTAGGAAATAATATACACCAAATAGATATTGTAGATTTAGCTATTAATAACTTTCAAGAACCAAGAGAACATTTTTGTGAAGCTAAGTGGTAACCAAGCCTGTTGTTTGAAGTTAACCACTGAGAGCTGCTGCCATAGAACTGGGCTTCCTACTATCTGTGACGATAATCGTGTTGAGAGAGGACAGAGGGCAGCATTTCACTAACCAAGGAAAACTGGATGTAATTACTCAAATGGGAAGCAATGCTGAACCAGCAGACTTGGTTCTCTAGTAGTGCAGACTGGAGGTCGGACTCCCTGATTAGAAAGAACAGGTTGGACAAATATGGAAAATGAAATGTGGGTTGCAGGTGGGGAGTAAATGCATAATAACCAGCTCTATTCATATTTTTTTAGATGAAGAAAATCAAACCCCACACATAGGGCAAACGCAAATTTCCACTTGTCACCATTTAGCTGTAGCATCTTGTCAATTCTTTTATATACCATGTGAACATAAAACTGTTCTATTACCTGTCATTATTACTTTTCATAGAAAAAGTGTCAATTAAGCAAAATTATAAATCACAATTCCCACTTTGTTAACACATCACAAATCTACATTGGATAATCTTTGCTTTTATTTTCCATCAAACATTCCGTATTGTGCTCAAATTCTGCCAGCATCTACATTGGTTTTTAATTTAATTTTTATAACCTGTGGAGATTATTAATTTATCATCTCCAAAAGAGCCGTTTCTGTCTTTATGGAGTTGTCATTTTTACTACTAGGATCAAATACTGTATATAAGTAGCATCCCTGTGAATCTCTAGAGTTCCAGGCACATTCCTTTTAGATCCTACTGTGAAGCAGCAATCTCTATAAATTTCATAATACTGTTAGGTAGGACAAATCCCCAACAGCTATAAAACCTGTGTCTTATCAATAAATGCATGGGATGAAACAGAAGGAAGGCATCAGTGCTTCTTTACAGCCCTGAGAACTGGAAAATGTTTGATTCAACAGGGATTTTCCTGAAATCTTTGCAAACCAATATGAACAGCTGTAACTTCCAGGGGAAAAGGCAAAAGGAAAAAATGATACTAGAGTTAGAAACCCTCGGCTGCATGCATTATTCGCTTTGTTAGCAAAACTTCTTTTCTGAACAAAACTCTATTCATGGAAGAATCTGCTAAGATTTACAACAAAAATGAGCATTCTAAAATAGTCCAGGTTTCTCTTACGTTTATTCCTAGATACCTTAAAAATTTTATTATAGTCAATATTATTGTTACTTATTTTCAGGAGATTTTTACATGCATCATATTAGTTAAATGACAAAATACCCCTACGTACCTCTCTTATCTCCAGATTCATGATAATGCAGCTGAGGAATAAAGACCCAAGGTCATTGGCCCAAAGTTAACCTATTATCAAGTGAGGGGGGCCAATTTTGAGCCTATATTAAATAACTCCAAAAATATGTTATTGATACTGTGTTTAATTTTTCTAAATCTACTTCCTCAAGTGAAAAGCAGGATTTTGGAGTTTTTGAAAAGACTAAATGACATCATGTTCCTATAATAAGCTATTAAGTCAAATTTTAAGTCAAATTAATAACAGCATGGAAATCATCTCTGTTTCTGTTGGGTATGCACCAAGGAGACCAAGTATCTAGCACTGGTATTTTCATTTTTAGTAGATACTGCCAAACAATTTTTTATAGCACTGTATAATGTACATCCCAATCCACAATGTAAGAGTATTCAAGTTGCTCTGCATTATCACAAACTATTGATATATTCAGGGATTTTTTTTTAGGGTTTATAGTAGTATATCTGGGTGGTTTTAATTTACATTTCCCTGATACATAATGACATTCAGCATATTTCCTTTTGTTTATTGCCCATTTGAATATCTTCATTTTTTGACAGGCCCGTTTGCCCACTTTTTACAAAACTGGGTTTTTTGCCTTTTTTTCTATTATTTGTAGGAATTCTTTATACTCTGGATGAAAGTCTCTTGTCAGATATACAGTATTGTTACAGTCTCACCAATACACCACAATGTAGCAGTCTCTCATTGTGAGGTATCACTGGGAGTTCTTTGTCTCAGGACCAGGAGAATTAAGGAGCATGGACACAAAGGGTGAGGTTAGAGTGAAAGTTTAGTAAGTGAAAGAAGAAAGCTCTCCACTGTAAATCTGGAAGAGCGTTGCAGTTTTTACAGTTGAATGCAAAGGCTTTTATAAGAAACCAATGAGGGCTGGGCATCTTATTTGCATAACGCACGAATTTCTGGTGGCTCCACCCCATTCCTGCAGTGCACACATGGGCCCTTAGTTTGAGTTACTCCATTTTGCATTGTTCCCCTTACTGCTCATGTATCAGGGAATGGAATTTTCCACTACAGGCATGTCTGGGCAAGTTACCTGTGTAGCCTTTCCTATTTGTGAGGCTGTGGGCATGTCTTAGGCAAGCCCCCTATGCAAGTTCCCTTGTCTGTGCCTGCAGGCTGTTCTTTTTTGAAAGGATTCAGCCGAGGACCCACCCTAATGGCCTGCCTGACCCAGTTTTTTCCTTTCTCCTCTCTCACTGTGTGGGAGCCAAATTTACACATTCCCATCACCCCTGCAAAATCTGAATTGACGTAAGCAAGAAATAAACATTTGTTGTGTTTTTATTGTTTATTTTGTTTAAAACATCAATAACCCTGAAACTGATTAATACTTTTTAGGGAGGTATGTCAGATAGATTGTCCATGTAATTGTTCCTCCGGTGCTCTTAGTGTTTCCCAGATCACTGCTCTTGCATCCTTTTTGTTTATTTATTCATCTACATTTCTTAATATATGGATAGCCTCTGTAGGTATTCTATACAGCCATCTACTTTGCTTTATCTTAGTTATCTCGGAGCTAATAGCTACTGTCTAAAAATTGGTCTGCTTAGTTAATTACATTCCTTGACATTTGTGGCATATGAGGAGCATGCATCCTTAACTTTCTGTTCTTTTTACTGTTTTTTTTTTTAATTTTTATGTATTTCACTATTCATTTAAATGACATTCAGGAAAAGATAACATAGATATTACTGAGGCATCATTTTTGCCTGGCGAGGTGTCAGAGTATTGGCAATGGAAAGTGGTTGGCTCTTGGGGGATAAAAAAGAATTTACTGACAACAGTAAGGGTTTGAAAAAGACAACTGTATTAATTAGAACACAGCAGAAGAGTGCAATGGAGCTCTTCAGCAAGAAAAGACTGGGCACGCCTTGATGGATTTTTCTTAGGGTTATTCATAGAACTTAAAGCAGAAGCTGAAGGGTAATTTGGACCATATTAGTCACATAGGTCATGATAAATCATTACATTTGTAGACATTTTAGTACCTTGATGTCAGCAAAGATTGCACAATGAGTTTTGGCATGTATTCATTATGGAGATGTATAGAAATTCTAGTTACTTATGAATTTTTGGGAAGAAAGCCTGGTACAGAATGCAGGCTTTAGATAATAAGGAATTCTGATTACTTCTGAATTCCTCAGATAAGGAGTTTTGCCTCTGGATGGTCTGCTTGATGGCCACCAGGTGACCTTTGCTTTCCTGAATTTTGCCTACAAAGGCTTCTGATCCTCACTTTTTAATATCTTTTATTTTTCCATACACATTCGGTATTCAAAAATTTTGAATCATTTCTAGTTTCCATTGCCAAACAAACCTCAATTAATTCACACTGCATAATATGTTCTTACAACCAGATTATTGCTTATCATGACTTATAGTAATAAGGAAATATTTTGAAATTCCCTCCCATACTGTGCTCTTTTCCATCTTACTTTCACATGTCCTGTTTCCTTAGGGTGGAATGCCTTTTCCTTACTTTACTCAGTTGGCATATGACTGACAATTCAGCTTCCTAAGTGTCTCTCTGTTTGATAACATTTTGTGTTCTTTCCATAAGAAGTGGCCAAGCCTTCCACTGTGCCTTCAAATAATTTTTTAAAACAATTTTATTTTACTTTAAGTTCTGGGATACATGTGCAGAACGTGCAGGTTTGTTACATAGTTATACATGTGCCATGGTGGTTTGCTGCACCTATCAATCTGTCATCTAGGTTTTAAGCCCCACATGCATTAAGTATTTGTCCTAATGTTCTCCTTCCCCTTGCCCCTCACCCCCAGAGGATTTTATGTATGCCTTTATTATGGAACATACTGTGCCCAACAAATTTTTATTGATTATATCAACCATCCAATCAATGGCTTTTAATAATACTACAATGTGCTTACTTTACTTTCTTCTAACTACTTCACAAACTGAACATTTTAATCATTAAAAATATCAAAAGAAAAATCACTTTTGAAACATTACATTTTATCAGTATGAATATAATTCTTTATTATTTCATTGGAGGGACAGTGCCGTGAAATATGTGAAACTGTAGAAGTCACTTTTCTAGAACCTCTATTCTTAAAAGATGGACTAATTTTATATATTTTAAAAATATTTACATAAAGATGGTTAATTATTCTCTGCACTTATCCAAGTGATATATTTAACACTGGGATTTTATATTACCCATGTATGCAGATGCTAGCAAAGATATCTTGCTATAGCTGGTATGAAATGCATTTGTGGGGGTTGACATAGCTTCATTATCTTCCTAATCTTAGAAAAAAATTATTGTGGTTAGGATTATCCAGAGTCAGTGAAAAGATTAAAATACATCTATTAATGAAAGGAGTGGGCTTTTTCTGACCTACATTTTTTGTATTATGTTTTAGCTCACTGAAAATCTGCCAGAAGAGTTATTTTACTTTTATCTGCCAAATCGTGCTCTCATTTATTCCAAATAACTTTACAACTTTTATCTCTCCACTTTATTTATTGAACAACATGGTTCCACATTACCTCTTAAAAGATTAGAAAACATAGGTGGCTATAAATTAGGAACAACATCTTCTATCCAATTCTATTGGTTTCATAGTTTATATCAAAGGCAATTTCTGCATGAAACCAGAAAAAAAGTTTTATGAAAAAAATGACAATTTTATAAATTAGAGTCCTAAAAACTGCACTGTTTACTTCAGACTCAATGGTCTTTTCAGGCAAAGATGGCTCCCTAAGGAATGCCTGTGCTTGCCAGTCCCTGACAGTGTTTTTGAAGGGGAAATGCCTCTTTTAGCCTGGTAGAAATATTATCAACATGTACCTAAGCCAGCTTTCAATCAGCTCTAAACAGTTTCTTCTCTGACTTTCATTCCATCTGGTTGAAGAACAGTTGTTAGTTCTGTGAGATAAGTGTGGTTGCACATATTTTTGCTGGTGTGTTGTCAGTGACTCTGAGAGGTCCCATCGCGTATTCATATTTTCCTCTTCACAGATGCATATTGTAAGTTATTTAATCATACACTTAGTATGAACAGGTAAATGGTTTATTCAAGTAGTAATAGTTTGTTTAGGTAGCAAACCAAAAACACTTAGGGTTCACTTAGGTTACTTTTTCACCTTTGCCTAACCTAAAATTTAAAGGTTTTTTTTTTTAATTTTTAATGTACATTATATAATCCTATATGAATTATTTTACTTATTTGAATATATGTATTGAAATAATTTCTTGGTTTATGTTTTTGAATTATGAGAAAATATATATATAATATTACCTTTCTTTAATTTTTAACCCAACATGCCCTATGACCTATTTTCTTTAACTGTTTAGTAACCAGAAAAAGCCAAAGCACAATATAACACAACCCAACCAACACAATAAATGCATTACTATTTAATACTGGGTTGCAGTGAATCTAGTGATTGACATGAAAACTATAATAATACTAGGAATAATAAATTAACTTATAAATTAAATTCAAACTTCAAGTTCTTTAAATCAGCATAGTCCCAGTCCTCACACATCCCTAATATGTTTTGAGTCCTGTTGAACTCATTTATATGGCCTGCCTGTCCTATTGACTTATGCTCTTAGGCATTACCTTACTAAGCAACAACCGTGTAACAGAGGTAATACCAGTGATGCCAATTTATCAAACAAAAATGAAAAACTTTCAGAAGTTCAGAAAATTGTTTAAGATCATACCTTTTGTAAGTGAAGATTTTGGATTAGAATTTAGAAGTCATGTTTCTAACTTCTCAATATTGCCCCAGTTTTGATAATAGAATTTTAGATGCCTGTTTGAATAAATTTTTGTTGGCTTTAAAATACAAACAGAAGAATGTGTTTTGTCACTGGAATTATAGTTTCCACCAAAAGCCCAGGAAAAGTGTTTGGAATAAAAACAAAATGAGAAAAGTATGATGTTTTAAAATTTCACTTCTCTAGAATATTTTATTCATGAAAACTATGTTTTTGTGCTCCAAGACAAGCCAAATGAATGCATTTTTAAATTTAGATTTCCTTATTCAGCATACCCCTTTGATATGCAATAATTTCCTTTATAATTCAATGAATGTTAATAATTACATACATAACAATCTGACCAGATGTTTGCATTAGCTGTAAGGTAATAGAAAATAACAAAAATGTGGTAATAACGCACTTATATGAAAATAACTTAAACTATGCTAGTTATTTTATGAATGAAAAAGATTTATTTATGAAGTCAAGAAAAGGGAGATTATCTTTCCCTACCAGTTTCTTAGAGGATGTAAATTTTGTAATCTAAATGACTTAAAGAAATCCTGAAAAGAGCAAAGAGTAAGTACTAAGTGAATACTTAGCATGTGTATGTGTACCTATATGTGTCTATGTATGTATGTGAATATCCATAACACATTCTTTTCCTTCCAAGCTATTGCTAGCATATGATTAAAAAAATTAAAAGAAGAACCAACAACAAATAACAAAAATTGAAAAGCTATCTTAGAAAAGTCAAAAGGGCATAACAAGGGAATATACAAGTTTAGGAGCTCTACTTTTAGAAATACCTACCTGGTTAAGCAGAGCACTTACATTAAAACTTCATTTTATAAGGAAACAGTACAATTTCCATTTTTGTACAGTCAGTATTTATTGATGTGAACCATGTGCCAGGTTCTATGCTTGATCTTGAAGAGAAAAAGCTGAATAAAATATGACACCCTCCCTCAGAGAGCTCACAATAAAATGAGAGGCAGGTGTGAACAAATTATTGTAAATAAAATATGGTGAGTAGAGGTATAAACCAAGTACTATGAAAACACTGAGTGAGGCTATTCACACAAAGTTTCAATGAGGAATACGCATTTGAGCTGACTTTTGAATGTGAGTAGGGGCTTATCATGTGGGTCAGGGAAGAGGGCAATTTCCAGGGAGAGAAAGCAGCATTGACTGAGGGAAACAGGAGGAAAAGAGTGAAAAATGACGAGCAGATTTCATTAAGAAGAGCACATTGTGCTTAGAGGAGAAGAGGATGGACATAGACAGATAAAACTAGACCAGGGGCAGAATAGGACTGGGAAGACCTTGAATATGAGCTTTATCTTTAGGCAATAAAAGGCCAATGAAGATTTTAAAACTGGAAGCAATATTACTATATTCGCTTAATTAGGAAGATATCTCTGGAAGCTGGACTAAAATTTCTGCTTTTCTGCCTTCATGGAAAAATTGCTTCTTAGCTCATACTTTATATTTTTGACAGACACAACTGGCTCAATTGCACTAATTCCAGATGTGAAAGTAGGAGGATAGAATAGAGTTTGCATTGGGTAATGTGTGGAGACAATAATGCAGATAGAGAACTTCTCAGCCCCCACCCTCTAAAGACCTCTGTTCACTTTCACATCCCACACAATCCTGGAGGCTTGCAGGCACCTGCATCTCAGTTTTTCTCTCCATCCTTAAGTAATTTCAGCATTCTGGCGTAATGTCAATATCCTCATGAATGACTGTGTAGAAACAGCCTAACAACTCCTGATGCATTAATAAAACTGTTAACAGTGGCGAAACAGTACAGGTCTGTAGCAGATCGATTCTTGCCTCCTCCTCGAAGGAAAGAATCCATTTGAGGGGTATAAGAAAGAGTGAGAGACTGTGGCAAGTTTTTTAGAAGGAGTGAGAGTTTATTAAAAAATTTTAGAGCAGGAATGAAAGGAAGTAAAGTACACTTGGGCCAGGCGCGGTGGCTCACGCCTGTAATCCCAGCACTTTGGGAGGCCGAGGAGCACAGATCACCTGAGGTCAGGAGTTTGAGACCAGCCTGACCAACATGGAGAAACCCTATCTCTACTAAAAATACAAAAAATTAGCCCGGCATGGTGGCGCATGCCTGTAATCCCAGCTATTCTGGAGGCTGAGGAAGAAGAATCGCTTGAACCCGGGAGGTGGAGGTTGCAGTGAGCCGAGATCATGCCATTGCACTGTAGCCTGTGCAACAAGAGTGACACTCCGTCTCAAAAAAAAAAAAAAAAAAAGTACACTTGGAAGAGGGCCAAGCAAGCAGACAACTTGAGAGAGCCAAGTGGCTCATTCGACCCTTGACTTGGGGTTTTATACATTGGCATAATTCCAGGGTTTGTGCTTCTTCTCCCGATTCTTCTTTGGGGCAGGCTGCCACATGCACAGTGGACTGCCGGCACTTAGGAGAGACTGCATGCCTAGTGTGTTTACTGAAGTTGTGCATGTGCTCATTTGAGGCATTTTTTCCAGTTAAACTCCACCATTTTGCCTCTTAGTTTGCATTCTTGAGCCAACTCGCCCAACTCCTGAGATCTTATCTGGAAGCTGCTGATCATCAGCTTTAGGTGTTTTCTATCTATTGGGAGACTGCCTTTCCCTGGCATTGGCTGCAACCAAATATTATTTTAGAGAGACAGTTCAGCAACCACCTGACCATCACCTGATGGTTGCCTGACATTCCTTGGGGGCTGGGGGGGACCCTTCCTTGCCCTGCTCATGTCTGCCTAGATCCACCTACTCTAACAAAACCTTTGAAGGCCTTCCTCCATGCCCTTCTTCAGGCACCAATTCTATGACCATAATAGCAACCAATAGCTCAAGGATTGGAATTGCAGCAGTATTCTCACCAATATGGAATTTCTTTTTCACACTTAAGGAATAATCTCGCCATCTCCACTGATAATCATCACTTTGATATTTTCAAGGACATTACCCTCAACAGGATTAGTCTCACTGTAGTACAGTTATTTAAGTGATAATTATAATGTAATAAGAAATGTGCATAATAGGATAATATGATATTGAAATATGATATTGAATAAAGACCTACATTTTCTTTTAACATTAGGGAAGTCTTTAATAAGAAGACAACTGAAGTTTTAGGGATGAACATATATTTGCTAGGTTCACAATTAGATAGCAACTATACAACCCTGTCTTTGAAGCATGAAAGTAGTCACAAAAATATGTAATGTCTGAGTATAGCTGTTTCAATAAAACTTCACTTACAGATATTACAATTTGATTTTCAAATGAGTTTTATGTTATGAAGTATTTTTCTTCTTTTTTTTCCCCCCAAAACGTTTGATTTCACCCACATAAAAGAGGTGAAAGCCTGGATTCAGGACACAGTCTGCCAATGCCTGAAATAAAGGGTAGTTTAGCTATATACCAGATAGAGAAAATATAGAATGGAAATAATTCCATTTTCAAAACTTATTTTGGATTTTCTTTTTTTTTTTTTTAACTTATTTTGGATTTTCTTTTTTTTTTTTTGGAGATGGAGTCTTTGTCTTGTTGCCCAGGCTGGAGTGCAGTGGCACGATCTTGGCTTACTGCAACCTCCACCTCCTAGGTTCAAGTGATTCTCCTACCTCAGCCTCCCAAGCAGCTGGGATTACAGGTGCCTGCCACCATGCCCGGCTAATTTTTGTATTTTTGTAGAGACAGGGTTTCACCATGTTGGCCAGGCTGGTCTTGAACTCCTGTACTCAAGTGAGCCACCTGCTTCGGCCTCCTAAAGTGCTGAAATTACAGGCGTGAGCCACTGCGCCCAGCCTCTTTTGGATTTTCATTGGTTAAAATTTTTTAAAGCCTAAAATTTTTCTTAGATTTTAGCTATCATCTTTTGTAGGAAAATAATAAATAGAAATTTTTAGGAAACAAAGACTTCTGAAAGATGAGTAGAAATTATTAGAAAACAATGACTCCTGAAACCCTCGCCTGTTATGCTAACTGCATTTCTTTGTTAACATGATTCCCTTATCTACTCCCACTGCCTCTACCCACCTAGAAAATCATAATTCATATTCCATTTCTACATCCATGTCTTCTCTTATTGTCATACCTATAAAGAACACTGCAATCTTTAAAAGCTTATTGAAGTTCAAATACTATGGACATATTCAGTATTTTAATATTTTCTAATTCTTTCATTTTATATTAATTTAGTTCATGGGTTAGCACCTTAATAGTACAAATATCTTATAATTATTTCCCCCAATAACTTTCACAATGTATTTGAAATTATAGTGTGCTTTAAAACAATACCTTTTAAAAATTTAGTCAATATAAAGAACAAAATTTGGAATCTCTGATCTTAGAACTTTTTAGAAATGGTCTAGTCTCCTTACATCACATAAAACTGCTATCCCAATATTTTTTTTCATGACAGAAACTGAAACTCAAATAGTTTTTAAAGCTGTCTATATTTTATTTTTCAATCTAGAATGTAGCATAATTTAAGGTCAAACCAGTAAATGGTAGATCTTTGTTTCACTACCTTTCAGCTTGACAAGGTGTGAGATTCTAAGTTTTTTTATTCTTAATGACTGTAATTAATATATTAAGATTCCTTGAAAATAAGATCTGAAGCCTTTTTTTTTCTTTTCTTTAGACAGGAAGGCTTTGAAAGAGAACTTTTATCTTTGACTCTTCTCAGCAAATGAGTCCTGCCTTTCTTTCCGAGATTGTTTCTCCTCACTAGCACGAAACAAAATAGAACAGTTGCCAGTGCTTCTGGAATGCAGGGGATTCTTGAGTGAATAAGTAGACATGCTTTTTTATTTTAAAATAATGCATTTTAAAATCTCATATATGCTATTCTTAATTGAATTTAACTAAATTTAATTATTATTATGTGAATTTTTAGATTTGCTTAAATATATTACTACTGATTTTATACTTTGCATAGCCACAGTTTAAGATTGGTACAGGTGTTGGATGTCCAAGGAGTATAAATGAAAGCCTTGTCTAGGATTTTCTACAGATATTAAGGGTTGATTTCACTTTTGAAATATTCTTTTATTATATGACAGGCTTTTAATCCTATAAGCTGCTCTACACTGCTCTTGGAAAGGACAAATACAAATTCTTTTGAGTGTAGTTTGTCAGAGCAGAGTGAACCCTATCTTCGATGACCCCAGTTCTTCCGCAGCTTTCTGCAGCAGCTGAGAACTGATCACCTTTCTACTGTGACTTACTTAGAGGCCTAGACTCAATGAAACCTTTCAGAATGATAGAATTTGGACATCTCACTATGACTAAAATGTTTGATGATCTTTCCCACATAATAGCACAGAAAATCAAATAAGCCACTTAACAATTTTTTAAAAGTCTACAGAAGTATTCTAGGAATACGTTGTCACATATATACTAAAATATATAATCATTCATCTCTTAAACTAGATTATAAAATATAGTTTGGATAGATACAAAAAATGCTAAAATGTAGATCAAATATTCAAGTTCTAGGTAGAAATTCTCTTTGATTTCTCTTTATCTCATCAAAATTTTATCTACTATGCCACAGAAAATATCATATTCTTAATTTGTCTAACTGCTTTCAAGATTTTCCCTTGTCTTTGGTTTTCTGCAGTATGAATATGATAGGCCTGGGTGTATTTTTGTTTATCTGTTTGTTTTAGTATTTAATGTTTATACGACTCAGTGTTCTTTGATCTTTCTGGATATGTAGTTTGCCATCTGTTACTATTTTTGGAAAATTCTCAGCCATTGTCACTTCAAATATTTATTCTCTTTGTTGTCTTTGTCTTTTCTTTCTGGTATGTCGATTACGGGTATGTTATGCCTTTTGAAATTGTACCACAGTTCTTGGATGTTCTTTTCTCTATTTTTTTCTTTGTATTTCAATTTTGTACGTTTCTGTTGACATATACATATTTTCAAGTTCACTGATTTTTTTCTCAGCTATGTCTAGCCTACTGATAGGTCATCAAAAGGATTATTTATTTTTGTTGCTGCTTTTTTTATTTCTACCATTTACTTTTATTTTCAATCTCTACATTTATGTTTGCATAGTTTCATTTCTATACTCTATATAGAAAAAAATGCATTTGAAATGAATCACTAGCTACATGTTCTGTGTAGCTAGTATATCGAAGTGACATTCATCAGAAATAAATACATTTTTATCATTAATCACATTAGCTGTGTTAAACTAGATATTGAGATGCCTAAAACACTCCATTTGAAATTTAGCTGGCCACAAAATACCACCTAGAAATATAAAGGATTTGAGTAGCATCCAGTGTGTCTGTGAGTACTGCAGCTATTCAGGGGAAATTAAAAAGAAACTGAAAAAGCTTCATATCGTTTTATTTTCAATAGCAAAATCTGCCAGTATAATAGCTGCAACATCATCTTAAGTCATCACTGTATTCTATGTTTGTTGGTAGCATGTACCAAGAAGTGGTGTTTGCAATCCATGAAATAGAAGCATAATATGAACAATGTTTTTTTGTCAGAGGCGTGTGAACCAGAGCAACTTCATCTTGAATAGTAGCTGGGTAAAATGAGGCTAAAACCTACTGGGCTACATTTTCAGATGGTTAAGGCATTCTAAGTCACAAGATGAGATACAAGGTCAGCACAAGATACAGGTCATAAAACAGGGTGCAGTAAAGGCTGATAAGACAGGCTGATAAAACAGGTTGCAGTAAAGAAGTTGGCTAAATCCCACCAAAACCAAAATGGCGATGAGAATAACCTCTGGCCGTCCTCACTGCTACACTCTCACCAGTGCCATGACACTTTACAAATGCCATGGCAATGTCAGGAAGTTACCCTATATGTCTAAAATGGGGAGGCATGAATAATACACCCCTTGTTTAGCATATCATCAAGAAATAACCATAAAAATGGGCAACCAGCAGCCCTCGGAGCTGCTCTATGGAGTTGCCATTCCTTTATTCCTTTACTTTATCAACTTGCTTTCACTTTACTCTATGGACTTGCTCTGAATCCTTTCTTGTGCGAGATCCAAGAACCCTCTCCTGGGGTCTGGATCAGGACTCCTTTCCTGTAACACTTTGAGAAAAATCTAAAGAGCTAAAACACTTCTATTTCTCATTTTTACAAGTCAGGTCAGATAAACCATAGAGAAGGTTTCTTTGAATATTATTAAGACTTCGCTTTGGCTCATTTGGAAGACTAGAGTTTTGAAACAACCTTCACAAAAATTGTATCAATGAAAAAATTATGACACTGAAAGAGATCTGACCTAACTCACCTCACATCTTGCCTTTCCTTTAATTATTCCTGGGCTTTTGGGCAGAGCTAACTTGAGAGACATTTAGGCTATAGTTTAAATGATGATAGGCCTCCCTGCAAACTCAACAGCTTTTATAAAACTAATGGGAAACCATCAGGCTGGGGGATGGGGAGCGGGAAGAGGAGACTGAGTCCTGCCAAGGCTTAGACATAAACAATTATCAGCCATTATTCCAGAGGTTATAAGATAGGCAACTTTCCCAATTATTCCTGCTGATAGCATCACTATTGGTGACTGGCACTTGGAGATATATTTTCAGGTTTTTTTGTTTTTTGTTTTGCATGTCTGACATCCATGGCTCCACCTGGGCCCACCTGGACCTGCCAACTCCACTCCTATGGCTCCACCCAGAAGCAATTCAGCATGCAGAACAGTTTCTACCCCTTTTGATTCCATCTCTGTCCTAGCCAATCAACAGCAAATCTAGTCACCCCCACATCTTCCCTCAAACTGCCTTTTCAAAACCCTTACCTAACCCATGAGCTTTGGAAAAGATGATTTGAATACTAACTCCATTTCCTCAGTGTGACTGGCCTTGTGTCTATTAAGTTCTTTCTCTACTACAATGCTGTGGTCTTTTTATCATACAGTAGGCAGGAAGAACTTGGGTTGTTATGGTTTTCTTTGGGAATCAATAGTTGGGCAGACTTTATAATGAGTAGTTTTTGCTGTTAGAACTTTGTGGTTCAGCTGTATTTTTCATATTTCAACCTATATAATGTACTCCCTGAAAAGTGCACTGTTTTTAACTACAAATTAAACTAGAAAATGGAAGAACAAAAATCAAGGACACTGTTCAATATAATATAGAAACTGTAGGCCAATAGTTCAAATGTATGTGGCCATTACGACATACAGGTATTTAAGATTCATAATGAAATTTTTAAATAAATGCTCTTTAAAGGTTTAATATATTCTGATGTTGTAAATGTTTTCTTTAAATATACATGTTATGTAACCCAAATGCATAGAGAATATTTTTAAAGAGGTCTTTTACTGTAAAGGCTCACAGTGTAATGTCCAGGTATTGATAAATAACAAAGGGTGACTTAACTAGGTAGAATTTATATAGCAAAAAAGGAAAAGAAAGAGGGTTAAATATTAGAGGAATAGTCTAGATGAAAACTGGAAAATGTAAAAAGCATATGTGGTTTATGCTCTATAAAATACAGTAATATATGAACAGGAAACAATTTATAACTTAATAATTAAGTTTATAGTCTTACCATTGGCAAATCTATATGGATCTGCAGCAACCTCAGTTCTTGCCTCCTCAGAAGAAAGAATTTAACGAGGAGCATAAGGCAGAAGCAGAGACTGAGGCAAGTATTAGAGCAGGAGTGAAAGTTTATTAAAAAGCTCTAGAGCAGGAATGAAGGAAGTACATTTGGAAGAGGGCCAAGTGGGCGACTTGAGAGATCAAGTGTGCGGTTAATCTTTTGACTTGGGGTTTTAACTTGTTGGCATGCTTCTGGGGTCTTGCAGTCCTTCTCCCCCTAATTCTTCCCTTGGGGCAGGCTGTCTGTGCGTTCAGTGCCCTGCCAGCACCTGGAAGAGGCCACATGTGCAGTGTGTTTACTGGAGCTGCATGCATGCTCATTTGAGGTTTTCTTCCCTTACCAGTCAAATGTCCCTACAGGGTCACATACCAGTTAAAGCCCACCATTTGCCTCTTAATGTACATGTTTGAGCCCGCTCGCCCAATTCCTGAGATCCTGTCAGGAAGCTGCTGATCACCAGTTTCAGGTGTTTCCGTTTACTGGGAGACTGTCTTTCCCTGGTGCTGACTGCAACCCATCATTATTTTAGAAAGACAGTTAACAACCATCTGACCATTACCTGATGGTCGCCTAACATTCCTGGTGTGTTTGTGGGTGAAGGCAGGCTGCCTTGCCCTGCTCATGTCTGACTAGCTACCTACTGCAACAATAGGTGTGATTATCTAAAAGAGTATTTCTAAGAGAAATGCATCTTAAGTCAGATTTTGAAAGGAGCCGATCATAATACCAAAAACACAATCCTAACCACCATAATCCTGAATGTTGAAATCCTGAAAGATCGAAATCCCCGTAGAAAAAAATAATTAAGAGTTTATTTAAAAATATTTATATTCCTTTTTAAAAGGAGATTTGAGAAACATGTAAAACCATGACAAAATACGTTATAGGCCACTTTACACAATAAAATAGACAATAATAACATAGTTGCACAGGTATAAAAATCATGAGCAGATGAACCATACTCATAAAAAAGTCAAAAATAGACATTGACAAACACATATAACTATGATTGGTGTTGATAATTGTGTGTACTCAGCTTTAGACCTGCAGTCATCAATAATACCATGATGAACAATCTAAGTCTTTTGATTAGATTGATCAAAAACCATGATGGATTACCACCACATATATAGTAGCCCAAATAGCCAAGATGTTGAAAAATTTTATCTTTCACAAATGCAGATGTACAAAAAGGCCATGTATTGATTTATTGAGAAAGTTTCAGTGCTTAAGCATACACTCAGTGCTTACACAGAGTCAACCTTGTAATAATGCACTTTTGTGGAGTTTAATTTGCAAAACGGATTGCATAAAATGAACTAGAACTCTCTCAAATTCTCTATAAGAAATGCTTCCAGTATTGGAAGTAATGTGAAGATGAAATACGTAATATAGCAAATTATAACAATAATGCTACCAATTTAAAATAGTTAAAAAAAAGCAAATACAAAACTAAAAAAAAAAAAACTAAGAAAACTAAAAAGGAAATTTGACATATAAATAGTATATTACAGGTATAGATTATAGGCAATCCATAAAAGTTGGCTGATTATCATGATTATTAACTATATTTTGAAACTTTGTAGCACAAGAAATAACTGGTTTTTTTTTTCCTTTTCTTTTAGGACATGGCTGACCTTGGAGAATACAGTCACATTTAATTTCTACGTGACACTGATCTTTCTGGAATTATTCTATAGGTTGATAGAGACCAACATCAGCATTCCCTGTTAAATGTTCCCATTGTCTATGCCATGTTTATCTGCTGTTTTGGGTATGTGGAAATCCATTCTGCATGCATTTATATACAAACTACAAATTTGGCGGAAACAGTATTGGTGACTGAACAGCAACACCATTTCATAAGCATCTTCTTATCCTACTATGCCTATAATTATTTTTGAACCAGTCAGTGACTTCCCTGGTTTCATCATGTAAAGGTAGCTTTAGTTATTTACTTGAAACTTTATTGGCCAGAAGGAATATCAATGCAAGTAAATAACACATTTTTAAACGAAAGTTTTGTCATTGCCATATCACATGTCCAATCTACTCGTTGGAATGTTCTGCCAAATGCATTGGGCTGAATGGAAAAGCAAACTATGAGTAATACCTTAAAATTCACTTTTAGAAGCCTTGATTTCATCTAATTCCAAATATGTCATTATGTTTTGGGGATTCATTTAGAGGTAAAGGATTTCAGACTTTAGAGATTTTGATCTTGTGGGATTCCAACATTTGAGATTATGGCATTTGGAATTGTGTCTTTTGAAATTATGATCTAAGCTCATTTGGAAGATATAATAATGAGGCTGAATTGGTAGATCTAGATACAGAAAGAGTGGAAACAAATTTGAGTAAAGGAGGAATTACTTGAGAATAGCCACAGAAAATTAGGATTGAGCAATCACATGTTGAAAAAGACTACTGAGCAACCCAAGTAGGATACAATATTATGAATAAAGAGAAGTAATTTAGTGAGATTGGATTTATATGATAGATAGATAGATAGAAAACATGAATATTTAGATGTTAGATGAAGTACTAAAAACAAAATTTTAACTATTAGAGAACAAAATAGCACTACAAGTGAGTTAAGAAAAAACTGGTGCCATCTTTAATTTTTATGTATAATCAAAATATATAGTTTACAAAAGGAGTATTGAATATTGAATTCTAGTTAATTGTCGAATACTTTAGAATAAATATAATATGATTTTCAAATTTAAATTAGTCTGTAATTCTTCAATACCATTGGAAAAAAATTTAGAGCTCAAAACATTCTCAGAGAAACACAGAAATTCAATACTGCAGTGCAATGGGAAAAGAATGAACGAATGTATTATCAATCAGTAAGACTTTGTGGATGGGCTATTTTTTTAAGTAAGAATTTTGTTTTCTCATTCCTTTGACAAAAACAATTTCAGATGATTTATAAATTTACATATGGAAAGTAAAATAATAAAGTTTATAAGGTAACATATAAGAATATCTTCATAATTTGGGAGAAGGCAGAGATTTCTTAAAAGATATTCAAAATCAGTACTCAAAGGAGAGACAATAAGTTTTACTAATGGTAAGAACATCTTTTTATCAAAAGTTATCAGTAAGAATGTGAAAAGGCAACCCACGTTGTGGGAGAAGACATTGGCAGCACATACAGCTGACAAAGGTTTCTGATTATATAAAGAACTCTTCTAAATAAATAGTAAATAGCTCAACCAGGAAAATAGAAAAAAAAAAGGAAAAGACTTGAAAAAGCACTTGACAACAGAAGTTATCCAAGTGACCAACAAATATTAGAAAGTGTGTACAACTTCATTAATCATCAGGGAAAAGCAAATTAAAAACCTAAAATTAACATCCTGACATACTCAGTAGAATACCTAAGCTAAGAAAGACAAAAATGTCAAGTATTGGTAGGTATGTGGAGCAATTCAAATTCTCATATTCTGTTTGTGAGAGATTAAGTTGGTGTAGGCATTTTGGCAAACTGTTTGACAGAATCTATTAACACTAAGTTACTACTTCCTTGACCCAGTAATTCTAATCATGAGCAGAAAACACATGGAAATGCATCTCTATGTTCACCAAATACAGTTATAAGATATTTACAAAACTATAAACATTAGCCAAATATTGTGAAAAACACAAGTATTTCTCAACATCGGAATGGGTAATTATGCTGTACCTTATCCATTCAATGAATGAATAAACTATACAGCAGAGACAATTAACATGCTACAATTACATGCCACAGTAGAGAGTTTCTAAAATAAAATGCTGAGTGAACCAAGGTAGTCACAAAAGAGTGTTATTGTAATAGTTCTATTATCTAAAGTAAAAGAAGATCACACGTATTAATACATATGGTTGTGGAAGTTAAGCTGGTGGTTATCTTTGGTTGAGTATATAGTCTTGGGAGGGGCAGGGCATTTTGGTTACTGACAATGTTACATTTCTTTATCTAGGTCCTGTATTCATGATTGTAGTCACAAGCCCAAATTCATCAAACTCTGTAGTTTTATTTTGTTCACTTTTCATTACTGATATTTTAAATACAAATTTTTATTAAAACAAAAATTTTATTGGACAATGCCACAAACGTAAGTCCCCAGGATTGCCAATATAAACTCTTGTTTAAAAAGTTCTAGAATCCATAATTTCTTTTCCAAAATTGAAGTCAATCAAAGACAAATTATAACTGGTATTTTATTCATAATAAATGAGTTTGATGGCATTGCTGTCCAAGAGAATCATATAAAAAAGAGGCACAGGGGATGTAAAGTTTAGGGAATATTTGCAGGGTAGTGAGTTGACTGGTGTGATTAACTCATGAATTTCAGAAATAATTGATGCAAGTGATAATGTGATAAAAATGCAAAGTATTTTGTTGAAATGTTGAAAAGGGAGAGGTAATTTAGATTCAAGTAATTGAGATATTTGCATGATATTCTAAAGAATTTGAACAGTATTTTGTAGATAGTGAGGCTCCTCAGATGGTTTTTGTAAAGAAAAATTATGGAATTTTCTGTTTTTATGAAGAAAACTTGGATGGCAGTGTGAAGAATGGATTAAAAAGATTAGAATCCAAACACCTGGAGTTGGATAGTTGGATAGATATTGCAACAAATAAAGTAGACTATGAAAACCTGAACCAGGATATTAAGAAGAGGAAACTTTAGAAGGGAATGGCAGATAATTTTCAAGATGTAGTGGTAAGAGAATTGATAGAATTTAGCAGGTGATTAGATATGGAAAATGAGAAATAAATGTATGAAGTAAAGTGAACTTTAATATGTCTAACCTCTGAGATAAGCAAGTAAAGAGTTTCATTGACAGAAAAAATACAAAGAAAAGAAGCACCTTATAGAGAAATAAATGAATTCATTTTAGAATATTGGAGTTTTGTATAATGGAGTTGGTATAAAGCCAGCACGAACTGGCAATAAAGAGCTGGAGTTTAGAAGGCAGGTTAAAATGGTAATGTATATTTCATACTTTGCACACAAAGATCCCCTTAGAAATCTTTGGAGTGGTTTCCTAGAATCTTCCTGTCAGATTTAATATTTATTATCATAACCCCTCACTGTGTTGATGTATAACCTTATGTGTATATTTCTAAATTCTCTCTGCTGAAGTAACATTTCATACTTTTTGTATATTGCCTCATAGGACCCAGCATAATGCTTGGCATAAAGTAATCATTTACTACTGATTTTGTTGTAATTTGAGCTCTTGGGTATCTTGATAAATAGCCTTACATGCTTTAATATGCATTGTGAATTTTATAATTTGTTAATATTAAGACTATAAAATCTATTACTCAACTTTGTGAAATATAGGTTAACAGAACAACTCACACTATTTATTTTATTATTATATCAAATGTGTTTCAACATTGGCCTTGAAAAAACATTCATTAGATCCTGTAGTAAAATAAAATTTGGCTACCATCAATACTAGCAATACTTAGAAAATATATGCCTTCATTATTCCCCACATAGATTATTGTATTGCTTTCCAACTAGATATCCCTTTCTGTAATCTAATTCTTTTTTTTCCCTCTTTTTCCTTTTTCTTTCTTTTTTTGGGTGGCTTTTTTTTTTTTTTTTTTTTTTTTTTTGAGACAGGGTCTCACTCTGTTGCCCAGGCTGGAGTGCAGTTCTGGTGAGCTCTTGGCTCACTGCAACCTTCACCTCCCAGGCTCAAGAGATTCTCCCAACTCAGCCTCCAGAGTAGGTGGGGCTACAGGGGCACACCACCACGCCCAGCTCATTCTTTGTAGTTTTAGTGGAGATAGGGTTTTGCCATGTTGGCCAGGCTGGTCTCAAACTCCTGGACTCAAGTGATCTGCCCACCTTGGCCTTCCAAAATGCTAGGATTACAGACATGAGGCAACATGCCTGGCCTCTTCAGTCTAAATTTTCTTTTTCACCCTATAGCCAATAATCAATCACCCTTTAGTCTATGATTTGTACTCCTGCTTCAGGGTAGCTTTTAAAATTTTTTTCTAGACATTTCCCTTGTGGTTATTCCGTATCAGTGCAGTTTCTGTGAAGTCTTACTATCAGAATTTACTGAACCAAATGTACAATAAAAAATAAGACTTGAATGCAGGGAAAGTGGCTGTGTTTCAGGAGCTTATTGTTAGGGATATTAGTTTTTTGCAGGAGAGGGGTGAATTCTCTTCCTATGATTGTCATATTATGTGCTAATTCATGTTAAGTGATTTATCCCAGAATAGAAATCTACCCTTTAAAATTTAAAACATAATGTGACTTGTTTTTGTCATTTTCATGGCAATGTTTCCAAAATGGATAGTACATTCTCTTTCCTATCAAATAGTAAGTACTGAATACAATTTAACCTTCAAGTAATCAAGTAATGACTCAGGACCATTATTACCAGCATCACTTGGCTCTAACTTCAAAATTGTATCCAGCTCTTTATATCACCCTTACTGCTACCCCTCAGGTCCACACAAACATCATATATCATCTGGCTTACTGTAATGCCTGCTAACTTGTCTCTCAGCCTCTCATGCTCACTGCAGTCTGTTCGCAGACAAGCCAGAATGTTTATTTTAAAGTTTAAGTCAGATCATGTCATTTCTCAGCTCAAAACACTCCAATAGCTCCCTGTTGGCTCTTACCATAGCCTACAAAGCCTTATATGACTTGGTTCCCCATTACTGCTCTCATCTCATTTCCTACTACTCTCTTTGAAGACATGAGTCATGTTCCCTTTGCACTAGCTGTATTATCTACTTCTTCAGTTTCTTCTGCCCTTGACAAGGCTTCAGCACATCTTGCCTTTGAAACACTCACAACCATATACACACTAATACACGTGCACAGAGAGACTTCTAATTTGTGAATTTTAATAGCAACTAAAAACATCTTGTCCAAATGATGTCTAAAATTAGCAGGCACAAGCTCTGAAAGGCAGCCTGAAGGACTTTTCTTTAAGGAAATTGTATACTTTTAGAAAATGATTAAGTGGCTTAAGTTTATTGCTTTCATGTATTTAAATGTTCTAAATATTTGACATTATGGAAATAGTAATCTCAATAAAAGTGGGGTATTATTTTCTATGTCATGTAAGTGGCACTGATGAAACTGTCAATATAATGGGTAGGAAAGAAAAGATCTTCATCTGTTGGTGATTTAATTTTCAGTTACATTGTTTCTATTTTTATTTTAAAAGGAAATAAATGTGTTGAACCCCTAAAGAATGAATTTGAATTGCAATCCAAAGCATTTAGCACATACTCAATGATTTAAAAAAAATAAAAGTGAGAAAACAATCAGTTACAAAGAACACACAATGGGAAATGTTTATCTTTTCTTCATTTATCTGCATCAATCCCATTTAGAAAGATGAAAACTGAATTTTTAAGACACACAAAGCACATTAAAAAAGAATTATGAAAAAAATTGTTCTTCTCATGATAAAAACTTTCACTTCATTCTCATAGTACAGTGTTAAATGCCAAAATTAAATTAGTTATCTCCTCTTCATTAAAACTCAAATGAAGTGTTAACAATGCCAAGAGTACCATGTTAATTTGTTGCATGGTTCAGTGTAAGCAACATATTATTATTACTACTTAAAACGTAACAATAACAGTGATCCATTATATTGACATAGCTCCAAGATTCAGGAAAAAAATCTTAAACATAAGTGATATATGTACTTAGAAATTCCTTCAATAGCTATAGAAATAAAGACATGATAACTGAACATATTATTGACTGAACAGAGTCTGACAACACTATGTGTTCCTTGCTTGAGTGGTTGACTTAATTGGCTTCATTTACTGCAATCCCTTTAGATTGCTTTATAACAGGAAAACCCAGATGATAGCTGGTGAATTAAGCCAAACAAGCATTGTATCATATTGGATGCTAAGATGAAGATAAGCCTTAGAGTGAAAGATTATTTGGATACTGAATGACCCAGTGACAATGTACACCATGACTAAAAATCAGGTCTCTGCTGTAGCCACATGATATTAGTCCATTGAGCTATTATACAGGAAACTTATTAATATATTACTCATTCTTAATAGTAATTTATAGTGAGATAAAATGAAATTCACCTTCAGTTCATCTGAAGAAATTCAGGAACTAAAAGGATAAGAATATCTCATTTTGTTAGAGTATATCTGTCTATACTGGGGCAGATTTCATCCCCCGGAGATAGGCTCCACTATTTAGAGATCATGAACTGAGACAGTTTCAAAAAGTATAAAAATAAAATACTATGGCTTGCTATTGTTTTCATTCTAAAATATTAGTATAAATAAACAAACAGAAGCAAATATTTCATAGAGAAGATGATGGGGTTTCCAGAACAGAAATGACTATGCAACCTCCAATTGTTCCCCTTCACTCTTCCTATCAGTGTGACACTGAATCCAGAAACCCTATGGAAACCTCATGAATTAAGAACATGGTCAAAATCCCTTGTCTCTCCTGGATAGACCTTACAGGATGAAGGGAAATGCTTTGGTAGCCTGATAAGGCCAGGTGACACAAAGACAATTGAGTATCTATGCTCAGTGCTAGTTAGGTAGGGATTTCTTCTATTATGAATATTAAAAACAAGCAAACCAAAAAAGCCAAATTGTGATTGATTTCTATATCATTATCAACCTTCTCCTCCTCCTCCTTTTCCACTTCATAGTTAATATTTACTTTGTGTGTGTGTCAGATTCTGTTTTACATGCATGACAATTTAACATGTGTTAATGAATCTTAATAACATTATGAAATAAACACTATTGTTATCCTCATTTATAATAAAGAATATGAGGCACTGATTTCTCTTTGTGAACAATTACGAATGACTCCAGAACAATTATTTAATCAATCTACAAACATGTAGCTAACTCATTTTATGGTATATATAAATACTATGCCAACATTTTATAATAAGAACTTTTATTTTTCATTTTTATAGATTCAGGTGGTACAAGTGCCGTTTTGTTGCAAGGATATATTGTGTAGTGGTGAAATCTGGGCTTTTAGTGCACCCATTACCTGAATAGTGAACATTGTAACCAAAGTAATTTTTCAGCTCTCACTGCCCTCCCACACTCCCTGCTTTTGTAGTCTCTATTGTCTATTATTTCCCTCTGTATGTCCATGTGTACCCTATGTTAGGTTGCCACTTACAAGTGAGAACATGAAGTATTTGAATTTCTGTTTCTGAGTTATTTCACTTAGGATAATGGCATCTAACTCCATCCATGTTGCTGCAAAAGGCATGATTTCATTCTTCTTATGGCTGTGTAGTATTCCATGGTGTATATAAGTGACATTTTCTTTAATCCAATCATCTGCTGATGGATATTTAGGTTGATTTCTTGACTTTGCTATTGTGAATAGTTCTGCATAAACATATGCGTGTAGGTGTCTCTCTCTGTTTAAAGAGACACAATGTTGCCATGTCTCTCAGGCTAGAATATAGTGGTGTAATCACAGCTCACTATGTCCTCAAAACTCTGCGGCTCAAGTGATCTTCCTACCCTGGCCACCCTGAGGGCTGGGCTTACAGGTCGGAGCCACTGTGCCTGGCCCCGCAGGTGTCTTTTTGCTAAAACAGTTTCTTTTTTTGGGTAGATACCAGCAGGGGGATTGCGGGGTTGACTGACAGTTTTCATTGTAGTTCTTTGAGACGTCTCCATACTGTTTTCCATAGAGGTTTTACTAATTTGCACTCCCACCAACAGAATAAATTTTCCCTTTTCTCCTTATTCTTGGCAATATCTATTGCTCTTTGACTTTTGATCATAGTCATTTTGACTGCTCTGATATAGTATCTTATTGTGATTTTAATTTGCATTTCTCTAATGATTGGGGATGTTGAACATTTTTTCATGTTTGTTGGCAACTTCTATGTCTTCTTTTGAATAGTGTTGTTCATGTCCTTTGCCCACTTTTTAATGATGTTATTTGTTTCTTCCTTTTTGAATTGTTTGAGTTTATAAAAGGACTTTTTAATCTAGTGATTTATTATAAGACTTACAAGGGCTTGAGCAAAAAAAGAAATTTGAAATTTGACTACTATTTTAGAAGAGGATAAAACAGTTATATTTTTTAAAATGCACCTTTTAATCATAAACTAATTCAGTTTTAGAGATGATATTATTGTAGTTGTTTATTGAATCAAGAAATATTTGTTGCATAAAACTTTATTCCATTTCGGTACTTGACCTTGGGAAGTAAGGGGGGAAGTGAAGTCATTATTAAGAATAAAAAGATCCCTTCTCTCAGGGAGCTTACCTTTCAGATGTGCTTTTGGCAACTCATTCTAGCTCTGGGCTGATTCCAAATGACAGTAATGGAATATATTTGAGGGCAAAAAACATCATTGTTCTAAAGTGAGGCCATTATGATGGTGGCACACAAAACCAGGATTTTTCTCAAAATGTGACAGAAAGGCGAATTTTTACATTAAACAGTTATACATTCCACAAGCATCAGCATATTTTCCCCATAAGAAAAAATCTACTTTTGTGCAATAATTCAATGCCTTACTTGAGTTGGATTTGTCTTTAGGTATTAGTCTATGAACCATATAGGATTACCATGGACAGATCTAAATTACAGATTTCTAGCTATTACTGTCATACCACAAATTTTGATTTCTGCAATATTTTATGTATGTAATATAATGGAATGCTTAATATAGTATTTTTTTCAAAGAAATATCCTTAAGAGATGTTGTGAGTCCAAGGTGATCAGTATCAATTAAATTAACCATATATTAAAGAGTATACTCTGCAGTATAAGAGTAAGGATTTTATAAATAGATCATCTTGGGTTTAAATCTGGTGTTCATCAATGACAACTGTGTAAATTAACTAGTTTCTTAGGTAGTTACCTAACAGATGTAAACAAATGCTAATAAGAATGCCAAGTATCCACTAATCTCCAAAATTTTTACTTACATACACACATACATAAACTTAGGGCCCAGTAAATACTTAGACACTTGGACAACAGTAAAACGTTTATGTGAAAAGAATTATGGCAAGGGAGGTCTTTAAGGCAAGGGAGGTCTAATTTTTCAACATTATACTATTTTCCCACAACAGAAAGTTATTGAAAAATCAAGAGGCAGAAGCAATTACAGAGGGGATAACACTGATTGATGATAATAATAAACTAATATCCTGCCACATTTTTATAATAATAGCAAAGTAATTTAGTAGAGATTTAAGGAAAATTTGGGGAACTTTTTTTTGTGTGTGTGAGACAGGGTCTCACTCTGTCACTCAGGCTAGGGTGCAGCCTCAACCTCTCAGACTCAAGCAATCCTCCCACCTCAGCCTCCTGAGTAGCTGGGCCTACAGGTGTCAGCCACCAGGCCCCGCTAATTTTTTTGTATTTTTTGTAGAGAGAAGGTTTCTTCATATTGCCCAGGCTGGTCTGAAACTGGTCTGAGATTCAGCAATCTACCCTGCTTAGCTTACCCAGGTGCTAGGATTACAGGTGTGAGCCACTCTTCTTGGCCTGGAGAAGCTATTCTTAGATGAGCATTACTAAAGAGCATTATGGAGTTGTATTTTTCCATTATCTAGAGTTAAAGTATCAATTTACTAAGACAGGTTAACAAAGACTTTGATGAAGTGCTTATTTTTGGCTTTTCAAACCTAATAGAAATTTACTGTATTAAGGAACAGCAAATAGTTCTTTTCAAATAGTATGCAATTTTTGGTTTATGTGACCCATGTCTGTCTATGAGCTTTGTTATTTGGTGATAAATATGGAAACATCTTTCTCTTAATAGTTCCAAAAAGATACTCTGTAGGTTTAATTATTGAACAATTCATGACAAAATAGGGTTTCAAAATGATAATTCTCTGAGATTTTTGTTCATAATAGTATATACAAGAGACAGAATATCCCATGTGCAACAACATTAGCATTGTGAAAGGAAATCAGGATCATAGAACTCTGTGTGTGAGTTTGTGTGTTTCTGGAGAGAGGAGTGGGAGATAGAAAGAATTGAGAAACCAAAAAACCTTGTAATCCAATGAGTTCTAAGGTTTTGCATAATGTTTAAAATAGGAGGATTTTTGCTCATTTCAAAATCAAAAGGAAAAACTCTCAAACATACACATACAGATATATATGTACACACACACACATATGTATATACATATGTACACATGTTACAAGATATTCCTTATTCTTCATTATATATAATAATCCTCTAGTGATTAAACTTTATAGCTTTATATAACCACAAACTTATATATTAAAAAGAGGGGTCACCACAAAATTGTACTTAACAACATTAAAAATACATATAGCATTATTAAGTGTCACTAATTCATTATTAAGTATACAGTTACTGCCTAGTCTGTGCTAGGCATTTCATGTAGGTACTGAGAATATTGCTTTCAATGAAAATGTGTGATCCATGCCCTCATAAAACTGTAAAACATTATAGAAGAAATAAGTATTTACAATAGCCACAAAAATGACTATGCTATATTTACATAATATGAAAGTGCTTTGAAAGAAAACTAAGGCAAAATAAAAAAATTATAATGACCAGACATGATTAATATCTAGGGGAAAGAGAGGTAGTTAGAGAAGTTCTGGAGGAAGTAATGCTTCAGTTAGGCTGTTTTTTTTCCTGGCAAAAGGAACAGCATATGTAAATCTCTAAATCTAAGTGGACCTTAGTTACCTAAAGTAACCGAGATCAATGTAGCTGCTTCAGAATGATGACAAGACTGATTAGATTACAGAGGTAAATGGGGTGAGACTATCAGGCATTTTGAGTAGGAAATCATGAGAAGGTTTTATGTTTTAACCAGGGTGCAATGGGAATCTGTCAAAGTGATTATGAGTAGGGGATTAATGTGTTTTCATAGATATTAAAAAGATCACTGCAAATCCTGGGTAAAAAATAGATTATAGGTTTTAGTAATTTCTGATAATTCGAAAAGTCCAATAAGTGAAAAAAGCAAATATTCTTCAATGCCCACTGAAGCTTATCAATACATGCTGCATATCTATCTTCCTTCCCTCCAAAAACTTCCTTAAATTATTGAAATTAAAATATCTCCAAAACCTCCATCCTTTTATAATATGTGAAATGCCTTCACACAATGTCAGTGTCCCCAAGGTTGAGAAGCACTGCCTTAGAGAAAAGATATTGACAAAGAGAACTTTAAAATAACCATAATTGAGTTAAATATTGCATTCACAACACAAGAAAGAATATAAAAAAGAAAACAAGAAATGAGAAGCTCTTAAAATTAAAGATATTTCTAAAATTAAACTTTAAAAATTGACAGCTTAGGAAAGTTAAGATATATACCAAATAAATAAAAAAGGATAAAATGAGGAAAACAACAATTCATGAAATCCAATCCACAATAAATAAAATCTTAATAAAGAGAGCAAAGAAAGTAAAAGCTAATAAAAGAAAACTTCTCAGAAAGTTGTGTCTAAGCTGCTTAGCCTTGGCCAATGCCCAAAAGAATAAGTGATAAAAATTCTGAAAGATAAAGAGTGGATCCTAAATTTTTCCCTAGAGAAAGAGTTTACAAACAAATTAATTAGTTGGATTTGAGTCACAATTATCATGAGCAATGATATAGATTGAGATCACATGTGTAAGGAAAATGATCTCAGAAGGAAGGACAGAGGTAAAAAAATGTAAGTGGAAAATTATATGCATATAGGTAAATCAAAGAAACAAGAGGAGGTCAAACAGCAAGCTTACTACACTTATTAAAATCTTGTTAATTTGATCTTATTAAACTGAACTATAAAAGCATGTAAAATGTGAAGAGTGATTGAAGCTTAAATGTTCTAAAGCTTTTGCATTGTGAAAGATAAATATAATTATATACTTTAAATTTAGATTTTAAACTTATTGACTTAGGTATGTATGATAGTTTCAAGCACACAAAAAAGTATATAATTAGAGTGTGACTACCTAATTATTAAAATTGTGATGAAAATTTGGAATGAAAAATTTGTACCGAGTGAAAAAGAGGCAGACCAAAATAAGACAAGATTAAAAAGTATATAAAAAGTTGGACAAATTGAATATGCAAAATATTTAGGTAGAAGTAAATTTAAATGTCAGGAATTATAATAAATGAAAAGAAATTTTCCAGTTAATTATAAAAATTGGCTACTTACTCTATTTCCAAGCCATAACTAATATATAAGAACCCAGAGGAACCCAAATCTTTAGGTTCCTCATCTGTAGATTCAACCAACCACAAATAAAAAATATCAGGAAAAAATAAAAAATAAAAAAACACAACAATAAAAAATAATGCAAATAAAATACGGTATAACAACCATGTATACAACATTTACATTGTATTAGCTATTATAAATAATCTAGAGATGACTTAAAGTACATGGGAGAAAGTCCATAGATTTATATAAAGGACTTGAGTATCCTCAGATTTTGGTATACACAGAGATCCTATAATCAATTCCCCACAGATACACAGGGACAACTGTAAAGTTAATATGTGTTACAAGGGATTATGTATTAGACAATAAGGTAAGTTTAACACTTAAAGTATGATTGTGAAACTGGTCATATGCTTGAATCACAATGCAATTTAAGTTAGATACCAGTATCAGATACAAAGTTACTCTCCTACCTGTGGACATTTTTAAATCCACTTCTATATGTCTCCAAATGAACTTCTCCTGTAACATAAAAATGGAAGTCAATGAAAATACCACATATTGAAACAAAGCAAAAGGATATGTAACTGCCTGAAGGGTTTTTGCTGCCTGCCATACAGACAAAATTACTTCACTGAGAAAATAAAAAGTGTAATTGACACGAAGACACCAAGTGGGCAGATGGAGTTATTACTCAAAGTTTTTCAAGGACAGTTTGGTGGGCTGGGTACTAGGGAACGGGGAATGTTGACCGGTTGGGGATGAAATTAGAGGGGTGGGGTATGGAAAGCAGTCCAGCTGTGCTGAGTCAGCCTCTGGGTGGGGGCCACAGGACCAGTTAAGGTATGAGTTTCAGGGCTGGGTGGAGTCAACTCGTCATGAGAAATGCAAAAGTCTGAAAAGACTCTCAAAGAGCCAATCTTTGGTTCTACAATAGTGATGTTATCTATACAAGTGATTAAGGAAGTTACAAATCTTGTGACCATAACAATGGCTGGTTATCAGTTTACTCTGCCTACATCTTAGCAGAATTCAGGCCCCTCTCATAAACATAACCTTGTAGACTTTCATTAATTTTACAAAGGCAGTTTAGTTTTCAGAGGAGCTATTATCATCTTTGCTTTAAGGTTAAACTATAAGTTCTTCTCCAAGTTAGCTTGGTCTATGTCCAGGAGTGACCAAGGACATCTTGGAGGTTAGAAGCAAGATGAATTCAACTGTGTCAGATTTCTCTTACTGTCAATAATTTTGCAAAGGTGGTGTCAGATATATTTTAAAAATTATGGATATAATATTTACATTAGTAAAGGATAAAAGGATAAAAATAGTGAGCAAAATGTTCAGCTTGTCTGAAAAAGGAACATCAAATAAATGCAAGAAGATAAGAAATAACATGAGAGTATAAATTATTAAATTAGAGAATGAAGATTCAATAGAGAAGATGAACAAAACCAAAGTTGTCAGTGAAAAAAAACAAAAGAATAATAAAAGAGGCAGATTTTTCTTGAGGATTATAAAAAAGTACATGTCAGGCCTCTGAGCCCAAGCCAAGCCATCACATCCCCTGTGACTTGCAGGTATACATCCAGATGGCCTGAAGTAACTGAAGATCCACAAAAGTAAAAATAGCCTTAACTGATGACATTCCACCATTGTGATTTGTTCCTGCCCCACCCTAACTGAACAATGTACTTTGTAATCTACCCCACCCTTAAGAAAGTTCTTTGTAATTCTCCCCACTGTTGAGAATGTACTTTGTGGGATCCACCCCTGCCCACAAAACATTGCTCTTAACTTCACTGCCTATCCCAAAACCTATAAGAACTAATGATAATCCACCACCCTTTGCTGACTCTCTTTTTGGACTCAGCCCACCTGCACCCAGGTGAAATAAACAGCCATGGTGCTCACACAAAGCCTGTTTGGTGGTCTCTTCACACGGACGCACATGAAATTCGGTGCCGTGACTCGGATCGGGGGACCTCCCTTGGGAGATCAATCCCCCGTCTTCTTGCTCTTTGCTCCATGAGAAAGATCCACCTACGACCTCAGGTCCTCAGACCGACCAGCCCAAGAAACATCTCCCCAATTTCAAATCCGGTAAGCGGCCTCTTTTTACTCTCTTCTCCAACCTCCCTCACTATCCCTCAACCTCTTTCTCCTTTCAATCTTGGTGCCACACTTCAATCTCTCCCTTCTCTTAATTTCAATTCCTTTCATTTTCTGGTAGAGACAAAGGAGACTTGTTTTATCTGTGGACCCAAAACTCTGGCACTGGTCACGGACTGGGAAGGCAGCCTTCCCTTGGTGTTTAATCATTGCAGGGACGCCTCTCTGAGTATTCACCCAAGTTTCAAAGGTGTCAGACCATGCAGGGATGCCTGCCTTAGTCCTTCACCCTTAGCGGCAAGTCCCGCTTTTCTGGGGGAGGGGCAAGTACCCCAACCTCGTATCTCTGCACCCCAATCCCTTATTTCCACACCCCAACCTCTTATTTCTGTGCCCCAATCCCTTATTTCCACGACTCCCCTTCCCACTTTTCTGGAGGGTAAGAACCCCCAAACCCCTTCCCTCCGTGTCGCTATGCTCTCTTTTCTCTGGGTTTGCCTCCTTCACTATGGGCAACCTTCCACCCTCCATTCCTCCTTATTCTCCCTTAGCCTGTGTTCTCAAGAACTTAAAACCTCTTCAACTCACACCTGACCTAAAACCTAAATGCCTTATTTTCTTCTGCAATGCCGCTTGACCCCAATACAAACTCAACAGTAGTTCCAAATAGCCAGAAAACGGCACTTTCAATTTTTCCATCCTGCAAGATCTAACTAATTCTTGTCGTAAAATAGGCAAACGGTCTCAGGTGCCTGACGTCCAGGCATTCTTTTACACATCAGTCCCTTCCTAGTCTCTGTGCCCAACGCAACTCGTCCCAAATCTTCCTTCTTTCCCTCCCGCCTGTCCCCTAGGTCCCAACCCCAAGTGTCGCTGAGTCTTTCTAATCTTCCTTTTCTACAGACCTATCTGACCTCTCCCCTCCTCTCCAGGCCAAGCTATGTCCCAATTCTTCCTCAGCCTCCACTCCTCCACCCTCTAATCCTTTTATCACCTCCCCTCCTCACACCTGGTCTGGCTTACAGTTTCATTCCATGACTAGCCCTCCCCCACCTGCCCAGCAATTTACTCTTAAAAAGGTGGCTGGAGTTAAAGGCATAGTCAAGGTTAATGCTCCTTTTTCTTCATCCCAAATCAGATAGCGTTTAGGCTCTTCTTCATCAAACATAAAAAACCCAGCCCAGTTCATGGCTTGTTCGGCAGCAACCCTGAGACGCTTTACAGATCTAGACTCTAAAAGGTCAAAAGGCCGTCTTCTTCTCAATATACATTTTATTACCCAATCTGCTCCCGACATTAAATAAACTCCAAAAATTAAATTCCCGCCCTCAAGCCCCACAACAGGATTTAATTAACCTTGCCTTCAAGGTGTACAATAATAGATAAAAGTTGCAATTCCTCGCCTCCACTGTGAGACAAACCCCAGCCACATCTCCAGCACACAAGAACTTCCAAACGCCTGAACTGCAGCAGCCAGGCGTTCCTCCAGAACCTCTTCCCCCAGGAGCTTGCTACAAGTGCCAGAAATCTGGCCACCGGGCCAAGGAAAGCCCGCAGCCCGGGATTCCTCCTAAGCCGCATCCCATCTGTGTAGGACCCCACTGAAAATCGGACTGTTCAACTCACCTGGCAGCCACTCCCAGAGCCCCTGGAACTCTGGCCCAAGGCTCTCTGACTGACTCCTTCCCAGATCTTCTCGGCTTAGCGGCTGAAGACTGACACTGCCCGATCGCCTGGGAAGCCCCCTAGACCATCAGGGACGCCGAGCTTCGGGTAACTCTCACAGTGGAAGGTAAGCCTGTCCCCTTCTTAATCAATACGGAGGCTACCCACTCCACATTACCTTCTTTTCAAGGGCCTGTTTCCCTTGCCTCCATAACTGTTGTCGGTATTGACGGCCAGGCTTCTAAACCTCTTAAAACTCCCAAACTCTGGTGCCAACTTAGACAATACTCTTTTAAGCACTCCTTTTTAGTTATCCCCACCTGCCCGGTTCCCTTATTAGGCTGAGACACTTTAACTAAATTATCTGCTTCCCTGACTATTCCTGGACTACAGCATCTCATTGCCGCCCTTCTTCCCAATCCAAAGCCTCCTTTGCGTCCTCCTCTTGTATTCCCCAACCTTAACCCACAAGTATAAGATACCTCTACTCCCTCCTTGGCGACCGATCATGCACCTCTTACCATCTCATTAAAACCTAATCACCCTTACCCCGCTCAATGTCAAGATCCCATCCCACAGCACGATTTAAAAGGATTAAAGCCTGTTATCACTCGCCTGCTACAGCATGGCCTTTTAAAGCCTATAAACTCTCCTTACCATTCCCCCATTTTACCTGTCCTAAAACCAGGCAAGGCTTACAAATTAGTTCAGAATCTGCGCCTTATCAACCAAATTGTTTTGCCTATCCACCCCGTGGTGCCAAACCCATATAGTCTCCTATCCCCAATACCTCCCTCTACTACTCATTATTCTGTTCTGGATTTCAAACATGCTTTCTTTACTATTCCTTTGCACCCTTCATCCCAGCCTCTCTTTGCTTTCACTTAGACTGACCCTGACACCCATTAGGCTCAGCAAATTACCTGGGCTGTACTGCTGCAAGGCTTCACAGACAGCCCCCATTACTTCAGTCATGCCCAAATTTCATCCTCATCTGTTACCTATCTCGGCATAATTCTCATAAAAACACACGTGCTCTCCCGCTGATCATGTCCGATTAATCTCCCAAACCTCAATCCCTTACAAAACAACAACTCCTTTCCTTCCTAGGCATGGTTAGTGCGGTCAGAGTTCTTACACAAGAGCCAGGACTGCACCCTGTAGCCTTTCTGTCCAAACAACTTGACCTTACTGTTTTAGCCTAGCCCTCATGTCTGCGTG